>NC_000013.11:80089353-80242193 GCF_000001405.40 Homo sapiens | reverse complement strand
AATTAGCCAGGCGTGGTGGCACATGCCTGTAATCCCAACTACTCGGGAGGCTGAGAAGGGAGAATCGCTTGAACCCGGGAGGTGGAGGTTTCAGTGAGCTGAGATGGCACCATTGCACTCCAGCCTGGGCACAAAAGCAAAACTCCGTCTCAAAAGAATAATAATAATAATAATAATAATAATAATGATTAACAGTATAGTATAGCAAATACATAGACTAGAAACAGTCATTTATTATCATTTCAAGTATTATGTATTGTACATAGTTATATGAGCTATACTTTTATACTACTGGGAGTGCGATGGGTTTGTTTATACCAGCACTATTTTATTTTATTTTGTTTTTGAGACAGAGTCTCTCTGTTGCCCAGGCTGGAGTGCAGTGGCGCAATCTCGGCTCACTGCAAGCTCCGCCTCCTGGGTTCACGCCATTCTCCTGCCTCAGCCTCCCGAGTAGCTGGAACTACAGGCACCCACCACCACGCCTGGCTAATTTTTTGTATTTTTAGTAGAGACGGGGTTTCACCGTGTTAGCCAGGATGGTGTCGGTCTCCTGACCTCGTGATCTGCCCGCCTCGGCCTCCCAAAGTGCTGGGATTACAAGCGTGAGCCACATCACTCGGCCTATACCAGCATTAACACAATGTTGTGCTACCATGTTGCGAGCCATGGGAAGGAGAGAAGAGAAGGAGAGAAGAGCTGCGGCCCCTCAGGGATCCCAGACCTAGAAGCTCTCTTACCCAGGGCTGTGACACCCTCTTTGGGGCTCTGTAGCTCCTGGCTTCTCCAGGCTTCCAGGCGCCACTGCGTTTCCCTATGCCAGCCGTGGAAGCTGCTTGTGGTACGCCTGGTCCAGCCACAGCGTTGCAGAGAGCAGGTGCCCATACCAGCGCCTGGAGCTGCCTGGCTGTGCTCAGTGGCTGGACCCCATGCTCACTCACTCACAAGTCCCTCACCACTCCGCACCTGGCTCACCCTTGGCAGGTGTGGTTTCTAGGCCAGTAGTGTGAGCCCAGTTCGGCCTGTCAGGCTGAGTGGATGAAACGGGCCCAGCGGGCCCTAGCAAAACTCAGGCAAAGGAGCCACTGGCCAAGGAGGTTTCCGGCTGGAAAAGTGACACCTCTAGGATCCTGTGACATTATGGAACTACTACCATATATGGGATACATTGTTGACCAAAATGTTATGTGACACATGACTGTATATGTTTAAAGAAAATGAAAACAACCCCAAATTTTGCCAACTAGGGTAAGTGACAATTATAAACATATCTTGGAATTAACTTTACATGGACATGTTTATGTATTTTTAATAACAAGGATCCCATCATATATGTAATTTTGTATTTTACTTTTAAAATTAGCTATTACAATGTATGTGATATCAGTAAATATTCTTACAGACACCCAATTTTAATAGCTGTGAAATATTTAAACATGCTGTCCTCTCGAAATATATTTATTTATTTGTTTTTAAGCCACTCATCATCTTTATTTCCTGGAATTAAAAAGTTTTAATTGACATATTAATAGTTGTACATAGTTTGGGGTACACGTGAAATTTGGATACATGTATACAATGTGTGATGATCAAATGAGGTTAATTAGGGTATCTATTACCACAAACATTCATTTTTTTCTTTGTGTTGAGAACATTAAAATTCTTCTTTTGTAGTTACTTTGAAATACACAATACAAATACAAAAATTAGCTGGGTTTGGTGGTGCACGCCTGTAATCCCAGCTACTCGGGAGACTGAGGCAGGCTTGAACCCGGGAGGCAGAGGCTGCAGTGAGCTGAGATCATGCTACTGCACTCCAGCCTGGGCGACAGAGTGAGACTCTTGTCTCAAAAAAAAAAAAAGAATTCTCCCTTCTTCCTCCAACTTCAGTACTCAGTTGCTCCAATAGTCCATGTTATTTCAAGTCTTTATGTCTTTGTTCATGTAATGTCCTCTGATTACAGTGCTTTTTTCTCCAGTCTAACCTGCCTAGCAAATTCTTAATCTTCATTCAAGACTCAAGTTAGAGGCTACCCCCTAAATAAACCTCCGATCCAAACTCCTTGACCACTTTTTTCTCTTTGACCCATCTGTACATGGCCACATTTTTATCATACCATCTATAGCATGTCATGATGCTTATTTACAGGGATTATATGTCGCTACTAGAAAGTAAGCTTTGTGGTGGTAAGATTAAAATAACACCTAGCACAGTGTCCAGTACAATGTAATAAGAAAAACTAACATCTATTTTACATTTAGTATGTACCTGGTGGTTCAAAGTGTTTTATATGTTTTATTTCAGACCATCTAATTCTCAAAGAATCCCAACAGAAATGTATCATTAATATCACTCTTGACAGATGAGGAAGTGGAGATACAGGGAGTTGAAGTAAGTTGCCTGAGGTTGCTAGTAAGTGGTGGTGACTTCACAATGCAAAACCAGAAAAACTAGCCCCAAATTCCAGTTTTTAAGTACTCTTTCCCTTCATATTGCCTTTCTGAGTAGGCACTTAAAAATATTTGCAAGATGAATTAATGTATTACTTTCCAGGCAGGTTGTCTTTGATTGCTTTCTCCAGCTTCTGAAAATATTAATCCGCTTCTCCTTAGCAAAATGTGCAATCTTTGCACATTTGCAGTCACACTTAAATCTTGAGTTTCCAACCTATTTCTGTTTGCCAAAAAACTTTTTTTCTTCCACCCTTCTTTAATATTTCTATTTTTTTGTTTTCCCCCTCTTTCTCTCTTTTGTATTTCTGTGATGTCTTAGAGAATACTTTTACACTCTGTTGTTTGCTTACCCAGAAGTGGCCTGTCCTAGGTTCTTGTTCTGGCTATCTTTCCTTTCTTCCCCCATCTCACTCTGTGCCTGGGATGCTGACCTCCCTGAACTCCACCAGCAGACTTTCATGCCCTCTGGCTTCTGGCTGTGTTCCACCAACAGGAGGCACCAGGAAGAAATTAGGGGGTGGAAGGAGAGTGATACCCCAACAATCCTTGAAATATCCCCAGTAAAGTTGTTTAAGATGGCTGGGGGACTGGTTGAGTCCCCTGATAAAGGTCACAATCCTATCAGGTGTCCTCATTCACAGTCATTTTATTCCTGGGTTGTGCTAACTACTTCTTCCCCTACCCCTTCAGGTTTAGGCTTGGTAACAATTCCTGGTTGTTGTAACTAATAGAAGTAACTCTGCCCTTACCTTTGTGATTAGAACTCTAACTATTCAGTTTGAATGCGCCATTTCTTTTCTTCTGCGACCCTGACTAATAGACCCCCACAACTTTTTTCAACCTTCCTAACAATACCCCAACTCTGTCTATGCATCCATCCTTCTGCATCTAGCCCATATGACTCAGGGGAAGATGACTTTCAATTCAGCTCTACGGTGAGATCCTCAATGGTATAGATCAAACATAGAAATCTCTTCTCCCTGGCTGGGCGCAGTGGCTCACGCCTGTAATCCCAGCACTTTGGGGGGCCAAGGAGGGCGGATCACCTCAGGTCGGGAGTTCAAGACCAGCCTGACCAATATGATGAAACCCCGTCTCTACTAAAAAATACAAAAATTAGCAGGGCATGGTGGCATGCACCTGTAATCCTGGCTACTCGGGAGGCTGAGACAGGAGAATCGCTTGAACCCAGGAGGCAGAGGTCACCGTGAGCCAAGATTGCACCACTGCACTCCAACCTGGGCAACAATAGTGAAACTCTGTCTCAAAAAAAAAAGAAAAAGAAAAGAAAAGAAGAAAGGAAAAGAAAAGAAAAAAAAGAAAACAAAGAAAGAAAAGAAGAAAAAAAGAAAGAAAGAAAAGAAAAGAAAAGAAAGTAAAAGAAAAAAAAGAAATCTCTTCTCCCGGCTAGGCACAGTGGCTCATGCCTGTAATCCTAGCACTTTGCGGGGCCGAGGCGGGCAGATTGCCTGAGCTCAGTTAGACAACCAAGCTGGGCAACATGGTGAAACCCTGTCTCTACTAAAATTCAAAAAAAAAAAAAAAAAAAAAAAATTAGCTGGGCATGGTGGCGGGCATCTATAGTTCCAGCGACTTGGGAGGTTGAGGCAGGAGAATAGCTTGAACCTGGGAGGCAGAAGTTACAGTGAGCCAAGATGGTGCCACTGCACTCCAACCTGGCAACAGAGCAAGACTCTGTCTCAAAACAAACAAACAAACCAAAAAAAAAAGAAAAAAGAAAAAAGAAATTTCTTCTCCCATGCTAGAAACTAGCTCTGACAACCAAGCTTAAGACAATCAGGGCAAAATATTTCTCTGGTGTCTGCCATCATGACACATATGATGGGTATGGAGCTTAAGTTTTTCTCAGTCATACTGCACAGAGTTTTATGGTTGAAGAGCACTTTCCTCCCCTCTCTCTTCTGGTAGATTTCAACAAAGACATGGGTTGTCCTGGTTGTTGCTGGCAGCTATTTTGCAACTATGAGAGGCACTATCCTGAAGACAACTAACTCAGGAAAGACCAAGAACATTGCAAGACAAAGCTGGAAATTTGATGATACCAAACTTGAAGTTTTCCTTACCTCCAGATTTTTTGTTCCATAATATATTTCATGTATGTATGTATATATATACATATATATGTGTATATATATATGTATATATATAAGTGTATATATACACATATATATATACATATATATGTGTATATATATATATGTATATAATTTTATTTTTTTTTTAGACAGAGTTTCGCTCCTGTTGCCCAGGCTGGAGTGCAATGGCGTGATCTCAGCTCACTGCAACCTCTGCCTCCCTGGTTCAAGTGATTCTCCTGCCTCAGCCTCCCAAATAGCTGGGGTTACAGGAGCATGCCACCACATGTGGCGAATTTTGTATTTTCATAGAGACGGGGTTTCACTATGTTGGCCAGGCTGGTCTCGAACTCCTGACCTCAGGTGATCCACCGGACTCACCCTCCCAAAGTGCTAGGATTACAGGCGAGAGCCACCGCGCTTGGCCATATTTCCTATATTTTAAGCCCACTTGAAGGAATTCCTGATTCTTGCAGCATATTATTTCCAAACTGCTTTGATTTTGTAATAGATAACATTTATTAAGTGTTTATTGTTTGACATTCACAGTACGGAGGACAATAAACCACAGGTTAGGTGGTAAAATTAGCCTCATTTTACACATGAGGAAGCTAAGCCTTTGAAAGGTAATTAATTAGCAGTGGCCATAGAACTGGTAAGTGCTAAAGCTGTAATGCAAACCTGGATCCATGTGACTCTGGCCTTCATCCTTTAGCAGCATGGCCTTCAGTTTGACGTTCACTCACTTTTTAGACAACTACTACATGACTGTACCTTAGTAGCTCACTTCCAAGTAACTGACGCATTGCCAGATTACCTCAGATTTTGGTAACAGAGATAAGGTACACATTTAGTGGTCAAAACCATGCTGAGATATGGAGTTCAGTTTTAGGTAGAAGGGAACATTAAGAAATTCATGGTCAAAACTCAAGCAAGGAAAACAATTTTGAAGGTAAGGTTTCTGTTCACCTGGCTGATGACAATGGCAATTTATATAAATCACAGCAAACTCCCCGGGAAAACAATCAGAAATAGTAATGAAATTTTAGGGTCAATGCTTAAAGAAATGATTTGCAGATGAACTTATTTGGGTGAATATGTCAATGTCATATTTTCAATATAAGTTTTAAATAAAATTCGAGGTTATAAAATGCAATTGGAACACAGAGATTAGAATTAGACTAAATTAAATCAAAGTCTCCTATTTGATCTGATTCTCTGTGACCTTTGTTTCAGCGTAATTTTTAGGTGAGCTGAATTCCATTTTCAAATATCATCCCTGAATTATGCTTTTAAATGTGAAGTGTAGGACTTTATTTATCAGTCTTGTCTCCTCTAAAAACAATTTATATTTGTTCATATATGTAATTCTCTTGGTTCTGAGGAAATGATTTTTTAGAGTGTTGAAAGGCGAAAAAAATATCGCCCTGGACCAAGTGTTTGTCTTCATGAGGCCGCTCTTTGACTGGTGTGACTAAATCAGATGAAGCAGCTTCATGTAGACACTTTGACACAAAGGATTTCAAAGCCAAGTCTAATGACAGCATTTCCTCCTAATATGGATGATGTGAGAACAGAAGCATAATGTTTATTAGCAACCCTTACAAAAACAGTAACTACAACAAAGAGCACAGAAGATGAAAATGCAAGTACTCGGCAATGAGCTCTCATTCTCTTCTGAAATTAATTCACACATTATAAGGTACGCTTCCTTGAATGAATTTCCTTCCTTTTACACTCCCACTTAGCTTTCCTTTAAGTGTCAAATGAAGCGGGTGGTGGAAAATGCAGTGCACCAGTCATTTTGACATTCCTTTGCAAATTAGTCAGGCTTTGATAGTACAGGTCGGTTCTACCACGCAGGGGAGCTTTCAGCTTTGGGAATCTGGCAAAAGTTCAAGAGCAACGTATTGCTTTGAACTCACTTGTTAGCTGTGCAAAATAAACACCATCCACCTTGCAATAAAAAAGCATCAGCAGGAGAAAAAAGAGAACATTCTAAACCCCTCCCTTGAGACTTCAAAACCCTCACTGGGGCTGCTAAATTAGGATAGGAAAAATAAGGCCTGTTTGTGAAAAGAAAGGAGGGGAAAGGAACCATCTTACAACAAACACACACAAAAATTACAATCGCTGAGAACTAATTATGTTTTCATGATCACAAATGCATTGAGAGTTTGAAAGCTCACGGACGCATCCTGATGCTGCTATAAAATGTTTCCTGGCTAATTATTTGCCAGTACAACTGTTCACTTCCTGTGGTGGATTTATGCTAAATCCTGTTATTAGTCTTGCTCTGCAATTGCCATTGTCTATGACTAGAAGCAAGGCTGAAAGGCTACAGTCAGCCTTTTATTACACAACATGTGAATGGAGATTTGACCCAATGTCCGACCACTTCCCCCCTTTGGTTTTTATGTGAGCTCGCTGAGCCTTTCCCAATAAATCATTGGGTTCCAATGAACTTTTACTCTTTTTTCTCTCCTTTCAACCCCACTACTTTGTGAGTGTGTGAGTGCACCCTTTAAAAATAAACCACACAATTTCTTTTTCTCTTTAAGCAGTAGTTAAGACCTTTTCATCATACACAATTTCTACAGTTGTTGCTACAAAAAAAATACATGAAACCAATGTTTGATGCCTCGATTTCATTCAGTGATGGAAGCTGGGAGAGGCAAAAATAAATAAGACCAAAAAAATTGTGAAAGTAATTTACATCTCAGTAAGCATGTGATCCTAAATAAATGTAATGTGCAAACCGTCATAGTAGCTACAGTATAAACTAAATACTTTCTGCAGAAACCTGACTAGGTTTTTCTAGAATATTTTATGTTGGGGGCATTTTAAGTAAATTTGGTAATAAATACCTTAAGAATAATGTTTCCTCCAGACAAAATTATAAATACTGTTAACTGTCTTAAATGTCTTCTTAAATATAGCTTATACTATTCTAAGTCTCTAAAATTCAAATCTAATATTCTTTATTTGTGATACTAGATTCAAGAATATAGCCACTATATTTAAAGATAGTCTTAGATTTATATATCAAATTTTAAAGGTTTATAAAAACTATTGGTTTATAAAAGCAAAGTAGATTGTGACAATGAAAAAATTAGGGTAATAACAAGGGCTAATTTTTCTGTTTATATATATTCCATTTTTTCTGTTTCTAATGGTTACATGCACATCTTTGTTATTCACATTTCTTATATTTATCAAAATTATATTCGTAAACATTCACAGAAATAATCCTTGTGGACTTAAAAATTTTCTCAGAGATCCTTTTCTAACATTTATGTAGATTTGTATAAAACCTTTGAAAATCTTATCTCAACTGCAAGTATCCTTTGTCCATGAAATTTTGTTTTTAGCAATAAATCCTGTTAGAAACGTTAATCCAAAGACAAATCCAGAGCTCAAATAGGTTCTGCTCAGATTTTTTTAAATTATAAAATACTGCAGACCAGGGGTCCCCAAAACCAGGCCACGTACTGGTGGTGATCTGTGGCCTGTTAGTAACTGGGCTGCACAGCTGGAGGTGAGTGGTGGGCTAGCGAGCGAAGCTTCATCTGTATTTACAGCTGGTCCTCATCTCTTGCATTAGCGTCTGAACTCTGTCTCCTGTCAGATCAGTGGTGGCATTAGATTCTCATAGGAGACTGAATCCTATTGTGAACTGCGCATGTGAGGGATCTAGATTATGCACTCCTTATGATAATCTAATGCCTGATGATCTGTCGGTGTCTCTCATCACCCCCAGATGGGACCATCTATTTGCAGGAAGACAAGTTCAGGGCTCCCACTGACTCTACATTATGGTGAGTTGCAGAATTATTTCATTATATCTTACAATGTAATAATAATAGTAATAAAATACACAACAAATGTAATGTGCTTGAATCATCCCGAAACTATCCCCTGCTCCTGCCCCCATTCATGGAAAAATTGTCTTCCACAAAATCAGTCCCTGTTGCCAAAAAGGTGGGGGACCACTGCTGTAGACAAATAAAACAAACATCAGTAGGGAGAGTTAAATAAATTGCACTACATTAAGAAAAAGGAAAAAGGAAAGAGAAAAAGATTGGGTGGATCTATATGCGAGGAAAGATAATTGTGATCATTTTTGAATGAAAAGAGCAAGCAGCAAATAATATGTATAGAATAGTATCATTTAAAAAAAATCTATGCAAGCTCATTTACACACAGAGGTGTGCTGGAGAGCTATGGGCCAGCTCATGAGCATGAGGATGTGGTAGGTGAGGAGACAGGAACAAGGAAGGTGATGGAGCCATTTTCATCATTTGCCTTACATAGTTTGGTAGTATTTGCTTTTCTTCCCAAGCATATCATTTATTTAGTATTTTTAAAAATTATAGTTAAAGGCAGAGGAGTACGACAAAAAGATTTTAAAAAAATGATCTAAGTGTACAAATTTTTGATGTGTGTCTGTGATGCATGTCAACGAATCCTTTATTTCTTCAATAATATATTGGTTCTTGGTCGGGCACCAAACGGTGTGCCACTACTTGGTGGTGTGCACCTGTAGTCCCAGGTATGGGGAAGGCTGGAGGATCCCTTGAGCCCAGGACTTTGAGTCCAGCCTGGGCAATGTAGCAAAATCTTGTATCTAAAAACTAAAAACAAAAAAAAAATAATACATTGATTCTATTGTATTAGAAACCCAAAAGAATGTGCTTTCTGAGGGCACTGTATCTCTCTGAGGTAGTCTGTAGCAACTGGTCTACAATGACCTAACTTCTTTTTCTTTTCTTTTTTTTTTTTTTTTTGAGACGGAGTCTCAGTCTGTTGCCAGGCTGGAGTGCAGTGGCGCAATCTCAGCTCACTGCAACCTCCGCCTCCCTGGTTCAAGTGATTCTCCTGCCTCAGCCACCCGAGTAGCTAGGACTACAGGTGCCCGCCACCATGCCCAGCTAATTTTTGTATTTTTATTAGAGACAGGGTTTCACCCTGTTGGCCAGGATGGTCTTGATCTCTCGACCTCGTGATCCACCCACTTTGGCCTCCCAAAGTGCTGGGATTACAGGCTTGAGCCACTGTGCCCCGCCTTCAATGACCTAACTTCTTATTTCTCTCTAATAAAAAGTAGAAAGAGGTACTGAGAGCATTGGCTGCATCCCACCACAGCAAGGAGCCCCCTGAGGGTATGTGAATGTCTCTTCCACATTCACGATGGTGGTCTAGAGGAAGGCAGGATAAACAGAGGTAAATCTGCCCCATCTCATGGCCATCATCAGACATTCCATTACTTCCAGAGCTCCTGACTGTGATGTAGTCTTTCACCCCTACATACACACACACACACACACACACATCACATAAACATATACACATGCATGCACACACATATACATATTTCCCTTCCATTTCTCTTCCCATGGTGCAAAGTTTCTAATCAATGGTGCTTCATTTTCTAAGAAGGCTAAGACCCTATAACATGGAATAGTGGAAACAACTCAGGCATCGACTCTGAAGCTTGGCACTTTCTTTTCCACGCAATCCTCTAGTAGAGATATTATTATTATTTCTTTTTTGAGACAGAGCCTCGCTCTGTTGCCCAGGCTAGAGTGCAGTGGTGCTACCTCCACTCACCGCAACCTCCGCCTTCCGGGTTCACGCCATTCTCCTTCCTCAGCCTACCGAATAGCTGGGACTACAGGCACCTGCCACCCAGCTAAATTTTTGTATTTTTAGTAGAGACGGGTTTCACCGTGTTAGCCAGGATGGTCTTGATCTCCTGACCTCGTGATCCGCCTACCTCAGCCTCCCAAAGTGCTGGGATTACAGGCGTGAACCACAGTGCCTGGCCTGGTAGAGGTATTATTATACAAATTTTACACATTTTAAAATTGAAACTTGCCAACTCCAGGGTTCAAAGTAATTTGGAAAATAGTACCTCCTGTAGAGGTTTATGTAAAAAATAAATGCCTACCACATTACCTAGCACATAGTGCTCAATAAATAAGGGATGAGATAGACATTAATATTACAAATGGCAGTTACCATAATTTTTTTTCCTGTAAAATATTTCTATTTATTTCTGGGGGAAGCGTTAGCAAAAAGGTCTGAGGATGTGGTCCTTGTCTTTATTCTGGGCCTGCTATATAGACTGCATACTATTCCTCAGGGTTGTCATCAATTTATTAGTAAGGATGTCAATATATAATCTTTCTTTTCTTTTCTTTGAGACAGAATCTCACTCTGTTGTCCAGGCTGGAGTACAGTGGTGCAGTCATGGCTCACAGCAGCCTCCAACTCCTAGGCACAAGTGAGTCTCCCACCTCAGCCTCCCCAGTAGCTGGGAGTACATGCATGTGCCACTATTCCAGCTACTTTATTATTTTTTGTAGAGATAAGATCTCACTATGTTGTTCAGGCTGGTCTCAAACTCCTGGGCTCAAGTAATTCTTCTGCCTCCACCTCCCAAAGTACTGGGATTAGAGACATGAGCCACCACGCCCTGCCAATGTATAATCTTAGAGTTAATTTTTATGTAAGATCACACACCTGACTCCCACTAACTGAACCAGACAGCTTCTTTCCTAATTCCTAGAGCCTTGAAAGAGTATGATGACTCCCAAATATCTCCCCAATTTGCCTCAAAATAGTTACCCTAGAATACTTCCTTGGGGATAAAACATTTTCTCTGGAAAATGGTAATGAGTAGCAGCGGATAAACTCATGAACATCATGGTCCAGGTGAGTTCATGAAATTAACCAGATTTAGGAAGTTGGGAACCAAGGCAAAAAGTAACAGGTTTGTCAAAGCTCAAGTGGGAGGATTTGTGGGAGCAGAAAGGTATGATTGACAGACCTGTCTTTGGACCTGGTTCTAATACTCCCTTGCTAAGTAACCTTGAGTCCACCATTTAACTTCAGTACTTCATTTGGTAAAATGGGAGCAATGAGACCTGTCTAATGGCATTGCCGTGAAGATAAACTGTGAAAAGACTTTTTTAAGCAGAGAAGGTTTGGGGTAAATATTAGTTATTTTTTTGGCCCACTGAACCCAATGCCTCACTCACTACAATGGCCTGGCTTTTACTGAGAAAATATTTACTTGAGAACTAATTATATTCCAGGCACTATAATAACTGTAGGAACATAATACTTATAAATGGATGGACGAAGGAGTGACTGGATGCCTTCTAGTAGCCTATGAACTGGTAAAGGCGCCAGATGAGTTAATACATGCTTATGCATCAGTATAATATGAGCCATGAGAAATCACTTAAATTGGGGGCAGAGAGCATAGACAGAGAGAAATTTATCCAGATGACAAGGCCTTTAAAAATAAGGAAGAGTTATTCAAAAAGTGAAAGAGAAAAATAGAGGGTCTGAATAAAACGAGAGTGAACCATATGAGCAAAGACACCAAATGAAAAAACAAAAAAAGAATCCTGATGCTTTGGGGACACTGAGAATGGCTACAGGGGAAACATGCAGGAGTTGCAGGAAATGAGGCTGAAGTAGGCTTGGGTATTATTACAAAGGGTCTTATGTGTCATGTTAAGCACCCAGGGTTTTAAATGGAAGGCATTGAAAATAGATTATTATACCAGGGAGTGACAAGATTTGTTTAGGATTTTAGAAAGGTCGTTTTGTGTATTTGGATGGATGGGAGTTCAGTTAATGGAGTGAGGGAAGCCAGCCTGATAATTGTGCTTCCAACAGTGACCCAGTTCTGATTTAGTCATTGAACATTTAATAAAAATTTATTGAATACAATCAGAGTGATTCAGAGACCATTTCCAAGGAAAAATAATAAGATTTTAAAGAAAAAAACAGTGGAAGCAGGGATGGAGAGAGAGGCAGTTACAAAATAGAGAGATGGATAGGTATAAAATAGACAAGAGAAAGAGATAATTTGCAAGTACTTCAAATGGCCTAATTGTGCTTAATCTATTATGTAAATATAATGCAGGAAATGACATTATTCTTAACAATATGATTTAATTTTACTTCGATTTTTTAGAATACAATTTTCCATTAGAAATATAAACATATATCAGAAAATAAGCTTATTTAAAATGCAGTGTTAAAATTAGGCTTGATGAAAACAATTTATTATTGCATGAAACAAATAAGCAAACAAACAAGCATGTTCTAGCATCCATATGTTCTTTGTATCTATGAACTCTTAATGGAAAAGTTGGCAGAATTAATTTTTTAGAAATTGTTTGTAATTACTTTTATTATTTATTTATATTGAGTTTATTTCCAAGAGTATTTAAGAGAGTAATTTATTCATAACACTATAACAAAATTATAAGAAGTATCATCATCATAACAATCAAAAGTTCTCTCTCAACTCATTGCAAAGCTCTGTATAATTACAAGACCATTCTTATCCATTGGTTACCAATCCATTGACCTGATTGTTAAAAAGAGCCTCGTACCTCCACTGTGCCTCTCGCCACGTGATCTTTGCAGACACCGTCTCCCTTTCACCTTCTACCATGAGTAGAAACAGCCTGAGGCCCTAACCAGATGCAAATGTCCAATCTTGAACTTTTCCAGACATCAGAATTGTGAGCCAAGTAAACCTTTCTTTCTTTATAAATTACCCAGGCTCAGGTATTCCTTTATAGCTACACAAAACAGACTACAATACATAGCATTTACATTGTATTAGGTATTTGAAGTAATCTAGAGAGGATTTAAAGCGTATGGGAAGATGTGGGTAGATTATATGTAAATGTTGTATCCCTTTATATCAAGAACTTGAGTATCCAGTGACTTTGGTACCCATGAGTGTCCTGGAACAATCCCCTATGGATACTGAGGGAACAATTGCTCTTGAATAATAAAAAAGTAAATTTTTAATGAAATTTTTATTGATCAAATTTAAAATATAGTAATAATTGAGTATAACTTTTGTGTAACATACGTCTACTAATGAGAATACAATTCTTTTGTGGGGATAATATTTTATTTAATTGGGGTTCAAAATTAGTGTTTCCTATGATCAAAATTGATTGCACATGTTTATCTGTTAATGTTGATTTGTAAAATGTGTATGATATTTTATCTATTTCATCTTGGAAAATGTGCTTTTAGACAGACACGTGTTTATTTTTAGCATCTGACTTTAACTGAGCTTATTTATCACTTGGAAATAATTTATATAAGAATTCTATTATGTTTTTTCCTGATATTTGCATTTTAGGATGTGATTACATCTCAGATTATTAACTTCAAGTTGAGTACTAGGCAGAAGCTCCTGAATTATATATTTAAATGGATTTTTTGAAACATAGAAATTTCCTTCATACTTGTACCATGTTTGGAAAATGTTACTTGAACTGTAGTAGGGGGTCAAAAGATACATGCACTATGTATTTTTGTAGGAATGAAGATCTTGCTCTTTATTTTAACCTTTGACAGAATGGGACATGTATAAAGCAGCTTAACATTACTGGTGATTTAAACAATGTTAGTTTTTGTCAAAATGTCTTCACTGAAGTATAAATTTCTCATGTAGTGCTATTTGACCTTGCAATGTTAGGGTGAGTTTATGAAGAAACATTTTCAAGTCTGCAGCAAAGGCTAACTTCCAAAGCCATTCGGTTTTTCATAATAGTGATTGAGAATCCTTCTTGCAGAAAAAAATCAATCTTGGTCCTGGGCTTAAAAAAAAATCACAGTTAAACTTTCTTACTGCTAAACCATCAAATTCCTGGGTGGTAGGGCAAGTCGGAATATTTAGCTTCTATTTTTGACCAAATAAAATCATGGAACTGATCATGGTTAGCTCAAAAGAGCACGTGAAATTTATACTACTAGTTCAAAAGCACATGGTAGATTAATTTATTTTCTGCAAAGCACCTGTTGGTGAATAATATAATAAATAATCACCAGCTGTAAACACTGTATTTTCACAAACTTTCTAAATTTGTTCAACTAAATGTTTTTCTTCCCCATATGTATTTTTAACACTATCAGTTTTAACATATCTTAGCAAATTTCCTTCCAGATTTTATTGAATTAGTGTTCTCTCATGCTCTTTGAAAATATTCTTGTCTGTAGTTACTACATGCAGACTATTCATAGAGGCTAATTCTTCCATCACTTTAAACTCAGCATTGTGTCCTTGAATAAATAACAACCAAGTGGTATCTCTGACATCCATCAGTTCATGAAGAGCCAAGGAAAACTATTCAAAATCATTTGCCTTTTATTTTAATTGACCATTGATGCTGCTCTTAATGTCCTCAACTTTTTGAGCAAGTGTTCTCACCCAGAGGCTAATAGTCTTAAGTAAATTTATTTTCTCTGGACACATTTCTTTGCAATTGTGTCAAACACAATTTAATTACATCACCACTAGTAAACAGGTTTCCTTGCATGGCTAACAAATAAAACCTTTTTGGTTTTCAGTTTGTTTATTTTTGTGAAGAAATTCTGCTATATATTTTGTCTTAACTTTTCTGATTTTCCTCATTGCTGCTCTCCCACAAGCTGGAGATACTGTGACGAGTGCTAGCTCCAGTAATGTTGAAGTATGTTGTATTATTTTAGCACAGCTAAAAGTCTTTGCATAATAAACATGATGCTTTGCCATCTAATTTCACTCAACTGTTCCTTAAACGTGTAACACTCAAAGTCTACTTTTGCTTTGTTTTCTTGTTTTGACATGATTTGCACTGGTCATATTTAACTGGACTTTAAAATAAAATGTCACAGGACAGTAACATATATGACACTTGAAAATCAGTTGAGTTATGACTATGACATTGTTATTAGTACTGTACTTAACAGCAATGTGAAGTGAATGGGGCACCACCTACAGATTCTGTCACAGCTACTCAGCTCTGCCATTGTAATGGGAAGGCAGCCATAGACAATATGGAAATTAATGAGTGTGGTTGTGTTTCGAGAAATTTCATTTATGGACACTAAAATTTGACTTTTGCATAATTTTTATGTGACACAAAATATCATTCTTCTTTTGACTTTTAAAAAATTATTTAAAAATGTAAAACCCATTCTTGTTTCACAGGCCATATAAAGGCAGGTGGCAGGCTGAATTTGATCCTGGGGCCACAATTTGCCAATCCCCAGTTTAGAGTTTTGAAATATGCACGTAGATGCTATGTCATCTGTTGAGCATGATTTGACAAGTTCAAAAATGCCACATTTTCTGTGTGTTAGATGACAAAGTTGGAAGCTCTTGTCTCCAACAAGCATTAATCATCATGCATTTTATTAAAAAATGGATACTCAGGCCGGGTGCGGTGGCTCACGCCTGTAATCCCAGTACTTTGGGAGGCTGAGGCGGGCAGATCACGAGGTCAAGAGATAGAGACCCACTCTGGAAAACATGGTGAAACCCCGTCTCTACTAAAAATACAAAAAAATTAGCTGGGCGTGGTGGTGCAAGCCTGTAGTCCCAGCTACTTGGGAGGCTGAGGCAGGAGAGTCACTTGAACCTGGGAGGTGGAGATTGCAGTGAACCGAGATGGCGCCACTGCACTCCAGCCTGGCGACAGAGCCAGACTCCGTCTCAAAAAAAAAAAAAAAAAAAAAAAAAAGGATACTCTGTGCCATTAACACATGGCGAGTTTAAACATTGCTAAAAGGTGAAACTAAGTGATTGCCAGGGGCACTTCCAATACTGAGATTCTATGATTTCATGTGGATTTATTTTTCTTGAATATCTGGTTGAGATTCTGGGGCCAAAACCAATGATATGTGGGATATAGAAAGTAAATACTTGTCTCAAAAATTTAAAGAGAAAAAAAGGTAGACAATATGTACTTTGGATTACATTACATGTAGTAGGTATTGTATCATAGTGAAGTAACTATTAGGATACATTAGAGGACTGGAGAGGAGTCCTGGAAATGATGATAAAAAGTACTTCACAGAAGAAAAGATGATGCCATTCAGATATTTAAAATCACTTCGTCCTAAATTTGGACACAACCAGTGCAAACAGAAATATAATAAAGTTACATATGTGTCAAATCAGTCAACACGCTGTCACATTAATCTTAGGTGGTTGGGTAGAATTAACCTGAGACATGTCTGTTGAGAATCAACAACACCATACAAAATAATAAAGATGGCGCTTCAGTTTACTGTCTCCTGAACTAGAAGAGTATCTGATGTAGTTATCTGGAGACATAATTTATGAGATTTAAACTGTATATAACACATTGAAGGTGAATGCGTTGTTTGTGATTTGGGGAGACTGTAGATAACTCATTGTTCATTACGAGACTGATGGGAGTATTCCAAACTCTAACAGTCTACCTACAAGGCAGCTATTATTGCTCCATTTCACAGAAACACATCTAAAGCTTAGAGAGGTTAGGTGACTTGATCAAGTTCATGTGGTAAGAGATTGGGCTTGGATCCAAAACTTCTCTTTCCGCTATCTGTTATTTAAAAATTTCCTTTCTTGCCGGGCATGGTGGCTCATGCCTGTAATCCTAGCACTTTGGGAGGCCGAGGCGGGCGGATTGCCTGAGCTCAGGAGTTTGAGACCAGCCTGGGCAACAAGGTGAAACCCCGTCTCTACTAAAATACAAAAAATTAGCCGGGTGTGGCAGCGTGTGCCTGTAGTCCCAGCTATTCAGGAGCTGAGCTGAGATTGCTCACTGCTCTCCAGCCCGGGCCACAGAGTGAGACTCTGTCTCTAAAAACAAAAAAAAAAAAACAAAAAAACAAAAAAAAATTTTTTTGCTTCACCTTTATTTTGGTTTGTGTGTATAAAATTCAGTTATTTCATTGGATAACAGAGTTTCCATTTTATGGACTTCATTGGATAACAAAGTTTCCATTTGATAACAAAGCATTTTTTATTATCAACAAAATAAAAATGTTTGTTTATTATTTATTAACAAAGTTTCCATTTGATAATAAAGTTTCCATTGGATAATAAAGCATGAGGCATTTATCCTTTTATGTCAAGATGACTCATGAAATGATAAATGCCTCATGCTTTATTCCCTCCTCCTCCAACTTCCTCATCCTCCTCCTACCTCCCACATATTCATTAATGCATTGCATTCATGAAGGTAAAAGTAGTTTTAACAATATGAACTCCTGAGTCACTATGCCAATCAAATATAATAGCTATATGTCAAATAGAGTTTTCTTTTCTTAGTGTTGGTAATAGAATAAGCCTGGTTCAATGCACATCATTGGTTTATTCATTTTGATTAAGTTTATTGGTTTCTTTCAAGACTTTTTTTGTGCTTAGATTACTATATTATTGAGATTAATTTCATACTTCAATGTGGTAGAAAGAATAATGGTTTCCCAAAATATAGCCACATCTTAATCTCTAAAAGTTTTGAATACGTTTTTGTAGGAGAGAAAAATTTAAAAATTCTTCTCACTCATCACAAGGTTCATGGCCGACATCCCTAAAATGAAAGACAAATTAACAAGAGAAAAGTACAAGAAATTTACTTAACAAAAGTTTTATGGGGCTGGGTGCCTGTAATCCCAGCACTTTGGGAGGCTGAGGCGGGCGGATCACCTGAGGTCAGGAGTTCGAGACTAGCCTCGCCAACATGGTCAAACCCCATCTCTACTAAAAATACAAAAATTAGCCAGGCATGGTGGTACACCCCTATAATCCCACCTACTCAAGAGGCTGAGGCAGGAGAATCACTTGAACCTGGGAGGCGGAGGTTGCAGTGAGCAGAGATTGTGCCATTGCACTCCGGCCTGGATGACAAAAAAAAAAAAAAAATTATGGGAACGGGAGCCTTCAGAAAAGACCCCCAAACTCAGGGAAAACTGTATATTTGTATGCTTAGGTTTGATGAAGATTGAAAAGTCAGGTACTTTGGGAGGCTGAGGTGGGTGGATCACTTGAGGTCAGGAGTTTAAGAGCAGGCTGGCCAACATGGTGAAACCCCATCTCTACGCAAAATACAAAAATTAGCCGGGGGTGGTGGAGGGCACCTGCAATCCCAGCTACTTGGGAGGCTGAGGCAGGAGAATCATTTGAACCTGGGAGGTGGAAGTTGCAGTGAGCTGAGATTGCACCACTGCACTCCAGCCTAGGTGACAATAGTGAGACTCCATCTCAAAAAAAAAAAAAAAAAAAAGAAAGAGAAGTCTTGTAGAAGTATGACTGGACAAAACGGGGGGTTGACCTAATGGTAATAAACTGAGGGAAATTTAGCAAGGCTTCTTTGCTCAGATTCTCCTTGGCCTCCAGGTATAGGGCAGGACCCCTCTGGAATGAGGATCTTATAACCTACTATCAGGAGAGGTAGGTAAAACAAATTCTTTCTATGGCCTCAGGGAAGAAAGGCAGAGAAGGTCAGAGAATGACCTTTCTGCTTCTGCAGTTTTCTCAATTTCTTTCCGCTTAAAATACTCAGTATGCCAAAGTGCCATATTTTGGGGTAGCATTTCCTGCACTCATCATTACCTTACACAGGAAGATGCCCTTTGTAGATGTGATCAAATTCAAGATCTTGAAATGGGGAGATAATCCTAAATGATCTGGTTGGGCCCAATGTCATCACAAGGGAACTTATAAGAGGGAGGCAGGAAGATGAGAGGCAGATAAGAGGTGTGGCAATCAATGGAAGTGGAAGTCGAAGTGATGAAATTTGCATGTAGAGGGAGGGGCTGCTAGCCAAGGAATGAGGGTGGCCTGTGGAAGCTGGAAAGGTGAAGAAACAAATTCTCTCCTAGAACCTTCAGGGGAGATCAGCACTGCCAACACCTTAATTTGGGCCCAGTGACACCCACTTCAGATTCCTGATCTCCAGAACTATAAAATAATAAATTAATGTTTTCAGCTACAAAGTTTGTAGTAATCTGTTACAGTAGCTAATACATTTACCATTCATATGTATGGTACTTGGTAGGATAAGTACCAAGCTAATACATTTACCGTATCCTCTTACAAGCAAATTTCACTGAGACCGAGCAATATTGCACCAAAACATTGTAGCTAGTATGCTGTTGTCTCAGACAAAATGATGTGTTTTTGGTAATGACTTCGATGAATTTTGGAGTCATATTTCAAATAGAAACTTCAGGAAGTAACAGCATCTAATTCTCCTAATTACCACTACTTTGTAGGAGACAAGTGGTTTGTCATTTTTTCAGATCATGCATGTCTTCTGCATTATATTTCAACCATCATCCTTGAAGCAGTGATATAGCAGACCCAAGTTAAGTGTTTCCCGTGATGAAACTTCTTCCAAGGTTGACATATACCCCTGAACACAACTTTAAAACCACAGAGTGCCAACCTTTATGTAAGAAATAGTCACATCCTGGCCAGGAGGGGTGGCTCACGCCTATAATCTCAGCACTTTGAGAGGCCAAGGCAGGCAGATTACCTGAGCTCAGGAGTTCGAGACCAGCCTGGTCAACATGGTGAAACCCTGTCTCTACTAAAAATACAAAAATTAGCCTGGTGTGGTGGCATGTGCCTGTAAGCCCAGCTATTCAGGAGGCTGAGGCAGGAGAATTGCTTGAACCCAGGAGACGGAGGTTGCAGTGAGCCAAGATCGTGCCACTGCCTTCCAGCCTGGGTGTGACAGAGTGAGACTCTATCTCAAAAAAAAAAAAAAAAAAAAAAAGTCACATCTGTGGGACAATCTTTAGGAAAATTACAAAGCAAATACAGTGGTTTTGATTTCAAAAGTTTTTAATAATGGACTACTATAAAACAAATATGGAATCTCTATATTAGTATAAATATAAAATTTTGAATAATCAGAGTACACTCACATTTTAAATTAAATGGTTTCAAATTGTTTGAAATTATAAGTAGTTTATATTTAATATTTGAACATCTTAGTTTAGACCTCATTGCATATCTGGTAAGGATTTTTCTAAATTCAGTTGTGAAGAAATGAACTAATGTAAAATTTCTATAAAATCATAAAGGACAGAGCCAGTTAGTACATTAATATTATCTAAGATAACATTAATAATTCCTATTGTACATTGAATGGTGGGTAGGTTCTAAGCACACCTAAGTTCGAGGCTCACTACTTTTCTCCAGATTTACAGAAGACACAGTGGAGGCAGAGGAAAGTTAAATAATTCATTCAAGCTCTTATACAGAAAATGTGGTGGAGCAAGAGTTAGTACATGGAACCTTGATATAGAATGGGTTACCAACATTTAATGACTATGTGCCTTAGATACTATTTTTTTTCAATTTTAATAAAGAAATACAAGTTAACACTTGAAAATTATTTTTAAAAAATCAGAGTACAAAATGACATGCAATAAAAATTAATAATTTCCTGACTCATGCTTTTTTCTCATTCCCATATTTACTTCTTAGAATTACACCTTTTTTTTTTTTTTTTTTTTTGGAGACAGGGTCTTACTCTCCTGCTCAGGCTGGAGTGCAGTGGTGTGACCACAGTCCACAGCTGACTGCAGCCTTGACCTCCCTGGGCTCAGTTGATCCTCCCACCTCAGCCTCCTGAATAGCTGGGAGCACAGGCTTGCACCACCACGGTCAGCTAATTTTTCTATTTTTCGTAGAGATGGGGTTTTGCTATGTTTCCCAGGCCTACACTTTCAACTATTGATATGTTTAGTTTTTCTGGTGGTTATATACGTAAATACAAATAATATGCTTATACCATTATACCTTGTTTGATCAATTTCAGTGTGAAAATGCCTCCCTTTTGCCCCCATCCTTGACTTAATAGTTGAATTCGCACTGTATTTCACCTTTGAGAAAATTACTTCTCGGCATTTGAAAAGCCTGGACCCAAAGTTTCCTTAGCATCCAGGATAGCTGATGGAAAATCTCGTCAGTCTGCAGTGTGGTCCTTCATCCTTATAGGCATTTTCCCCTTCTCCCTAGACGTTTTCAACACCTCTATTTAGACTTAATGTGCTGAAAATTTCATGAAGATATATTTTGAATATGGATTTTAAAATTCATGTTTCTCAAAACATGTCAGACTTTTTCAACCTAAAGTTGTACATTCAGTACTGGGACATTTTGTTCTAATATATCTTTTTTTTTTTTCCTTTTCTCTTTAATACCAAATACCAAGACTTCAAGTGTTCTAATATATCTTATATAATTTCCTCTTACCCATTTTCTATTTCCTATCTTTTTGGAACTTCTATTAATTGAATTTTAGACTTTTTGGAATGATTCTCTATGTTGCATATCTTTTTCTTTCAATGTTTTACTTCATAAAACATTGCAAGTCTTCTATAACTTTATCTTCCACTCATTCTATTGATTTTTCTTTTAAGTTTGGCAATTTTGTTTTTAATTTCTAAGAGCTCATTCTTTTTTCTGCTTCTATTTTCATGACGCTCATGACATAAGCTCTCAAATTTCTTTGAGCATAGTAATTAAAACACTTTTTTTCCTGTTCTCTGAATTATGTTTATTTCTTTATCTTACTCTTTTTAAAAAAGGCTTTCTTTTTTAAAATACAAGGTAGTACAAGAATGGGAGAAAATATTTGCAAACTATGCATTTAACAAAGGTCTAATATCTAACATCTATAAGGAACTTAAACAAATGTACAAGAAAAAACAAACAAACAATCCCATTAAAAAGTGGTCAAAGGACATCAACAGACAGTTTTCTAAAGAAAACATATCTGCGGACAACAAGCATATGAAAGAAAGGAAAATCAAAATGACAATAAGATACCATCTCACACCAGTCAGAATAGCTATTATTAAAGTCAAAAAATAACAGATGCTGGTGAGGTTGCGGAGAAAAGGAACACTTATACACTGTTGGTGGGAATGTAAATTAGTTCAACTATTGTGGAAAGCAGTATGGCCATTCCCCAAATTGCTAAAAACAGACCTATCATTTGACCCAGCAACCCCATTGCTGGGTATACACCCAAAGGAATACAAATTGTTCTACCATAAACGCACATGCACACATGTGTTTATTGCAGCACTATACAAAGACATGGAATCAACCTAAATGCCCATCAATGGCAGATTAGATAAAGAAAATGTGGAACATGTACACCATGGAATACTATGCAGCCATAAAAAGAATGAGATCATGTCCTTTGCAGGGACATGGATGGAGCTGGAGGCCATTGTCCCTCCTAAACTAACATAAGAACAGAAAACCAAGTACTGTATGTTCTTACTACAAGTGGGAGCTAAATAATGAGAAATCATGGACACAAAGAGGGAAACAACACATACTGAGGCCTTTTGGAGGGTGCAGGGTGGGAGGACAGAAGGGATCAGGAAAAATAACTAATGACTACTAGGCTTAGTACTTGGGTGACAAAATAATCTATACAACAAACCTCCATGACACGAGTTTATATATAACAAACCTGCATATGTACTCCTGAAACTAAAAGATTTTTTTTTGAAGTGATAAATATAAGGTAGTATGGCATAGCTTTCAAGAATGTAGAGTCTGAGACTCAGATTTCTGGATTTCAATTTCAGCTCTATCATTTATTAATTAGGTAGTTTTGGACAAGTAATTCAACTTCTATGTGGTTTAGTTTCCTCAATTATAAAACATTGATAATTATAGTACCTGCTTAACATACTTTAATCCTAGTAGGATTAAATGAATTAAAAATATCAAGACATTGGCCAGGTGTGGTGGCTCACACCTGTAATCCCAGCACTTTGGGAGGCAGGCAGATCACCTGAGGTCAGGGGTTCAAGACCAGCCTGCCCAACATGGTGAAACCCTCTCTCTACTAAAAATACAAAATTAGCCAGGTGTGGTGGCGTGTGCCTATAGTCCTAGCTACTTGGGAGGCTGAGACAGGAGAATAGCTTGAACCCAGGAAGCGGAGGTTGCAGTGAGCCGAGATCGCACCACTGCACTCCAGCCTGGGCAACAAAGCGAGATTGTTTCAAAAATAAAAAAATAATAAAAAATAAATAAATCAAGACATTGAATGAAATCTACTATATAGGAAGTACTAAGAAATCATAGCTATAATTAACGGTTTTCCACATTGATCTAGTGATTCGTGATTAACTGCTCTTAGTGAAAAATGAAGGCCTCCTATATCACAGGTGGTCAGCATGGATATGGGTAGCTGTACTGTAAATAAGTCAGCTTCCACAGTGATTTCTCTCCACCTCCCTCCACTCCCCAAAGCGGCTCGGGATGCAAAGGAGGTATATCAGCTCCAGTGGCGGACTTCACCTGCAGAGGACCAGAAAGCAGCTTGGCCCTCCACTGCAGAGGGAGGTGAGTTTATCCTCCTGGTCCATACTGAATGGTTAGCTTTAAACAGGAAGCTTGCTCACTCTTTGAAGATAAAGCCCTACAGTGATTAGCCTGGAGGTAAATGCTGGGCTGTGGTGTCAGTTTTTCTGCCTGCAGGAGGGGTGGAGGGGACTGTAGGTGAAAGTTGACCTAAGCCCCTTGTTTTTGCTTCGTTTCTCACTCCTGCTCTCCTAGTTGTCAACTCTGAGCCCATAGTGCTACTACCAAGAGAATGGCCCACTAAGCTTCCTTGTGGGCATTCTCTGGAATGCGCGTTCTTCCCCTTTGTTTCTCTGCAGCTTTCAGCTGCTCATATCTACCCGGAATTTGTTGACGTCTCTTGTCTGCTAGTGAATACGCCTACTCCCTACCTTCCCTTTATTGTTATCAGTTTATTCTTTTTCCCACTTCCTTTGAGTCATTTTAATGTGATCTGGGGGCAAGGTTTGTGACTCAAGAGAGACATACTTTGTGCTCAGAATAAAATGTTGATCCCTCAATCCCCCTACTCCTCCTGTCTCTTTTAATTTTAGATTAAGTTTTACAATTATCCTGCAAAGGAAATATTACTATTCCAGTTCTTCATATGAAAATGAAGAAAAGCTTTAGTGTTACTCTGGATCACGTGACTGGTAAGTGATGACACCTGGACTCAAATTCAGATCTTTCTAATAAAAAATCACAAATTTTTTCCTCTAAGATCCAAGAATAGGGACTCAATATGAGGATAAACATGATAAGTACTTAATATTAAGCATTTAGAAGAAAATCAAAATATTAGTTATACAGATTTTAACACTATATGGACAAATTACTAAGATTATTATCTGAGTTTTTTAAAAAATTTAGGGCATGGATTTCTTTATGCATTGCTGGTAATGGTGTTGGGATTCTATAGTTATGGAACCCATGACAGGGAGGATTTTGAGTCTTAAGACTGGAACACCTGTGGCATGTTCTCTTCCTTTACCCGTTCCAGGCAGTGTTTATTATCAGTTCAGATATAAGCATATCTGCCACAAAGAGACCTGGACTTTTTATTCTGCTCCAAGGCCCTTTAGGTGGCAAAGGCCTTCAGCCATGTTCCCCAGAAGCAAACGCAGTATAGATGTAGAACCAGTCAGTTAATTCAAAACCACCACTCTAGCAGAGGTCTGAATTATAATTTCAATAAGAGTCACCTTTTCTCGGTCACGGTGGCTCATGCCTGTAATCCTAGCACTTTGGGAGGCTGAGGCGGGTGGATCACCTGAGGTCAGGACAAGACCAGCCTGGCCAATATGGGGAAACCTGTATCTACTAAAAACACAAAACTTAGCCAGGCGTGGTGGCAGGCACCTGTAATCCCAGTTACCCGGGAGGCTGAGGCTGAGGCAGGAGAATAGTTTGAACCTAGGAGGTGGAGGTTGCAGTTAGCCGAGATCACGCCATTGCACTCCAGCCTGGGTAACAAGAGTGAAACTCTGTCTGAAAAAAAAAAAAAAAAAAACCATCAACAACAAAAAACAAAGAGTTATCTTTTCTCTTTCTAAAACATGATGAGAAAAATGTTAAAAAGTCTGAAGGGAGTATGGATGTATGGTGAAAATACTGCTAAACATAATCCAATAACTCCTTGGATTTAGATTTGAAAAAATGGATATGCTGTTATTAGTACACCAAAAGTTATGTTTTACTGCAACTCACAACAATCTCTCAGTAAATGCAATCTGAGATGGAAAGGAAATTATCTCTGTATTTAACCAAAAATGCAATATTCAACTGTTCAATTGAGCCTAGTTGCCCTGAGTCCTGTGGTTGAGGAAAGTCATCAAACTATAGGGTACTGATTCCTTGTTACTTTTTGGATGAAATTTGTAAGTTTAGCATTTACAAATAGAACTTTGCTGGAAGATAGAGCATGCGTGTTTCTTCTGAGACTGGTGGCTGCAGCTGGACTTCTTCCTCATGACCACATTGCCGTTAAGATCAAACTTTGTCTGTGATTAGTTATCAAGAAAAATATACGGTTTTGACAATATGACTTAGCAACTTGAAAATCTTGGCTGGGTGCAGTGTCTCATGCCTGTAATCCCAGCACTTTGGGAGGCCGAGGCGGGTGGATCACAAGGTCAAGAGCTCGAGACCATCCTGGTCAACATGGTGAAGCACCGTCTCTACTAAAAATACAAAAATTAGCTGGGCATGGTGGCTCATGCCTGTAGTCCCAGCTACTCGGGAGGCTGAGGCAGGAGAATCGATTGAACCTGGGAGGCAGAGGTTGCAGTGAGCTGACATTGTGCCACTGTGCTCCAACCTTGTGACAGAGAGAGACTCTGTTTCAAAAAAAAAAAAAAAAGAAAAAAGAAAATCTTCAGGAGTTTGCAGATAAATCAAACTTGAGAAGCAGAGATATAAATATTCAGGGAAATAAATGATAGAAGAAAAAAATTCCTAACTAAATCTGAAAATATGATGAATTGATCCAGATCTCTAATAAGACAACCTATTAATACAATGTTAATACTAGTTTCCTGCCCAAAGTCACTGGAATTTTTTCTTATATACAAAAGGGCTTATTTTATTTCTCAGATATAGCACCTACTTGGTATGCTTAAACAAATAAAATTCTAGTTAATTAACGTGTGATTTTCTCTCTCTTAGCTGAAATATTTCAGTAGCCATTCATTCTATTTATTAAGATTGCTATACTTTAAAAAATTTAGATATACAAATCTGTGTATGCGTAAGAAGTAAGAAATGGGGCCCAGCTTTTGTAAAGTCAATGAATGACTACAGTTGAAAGAATACCCATGTATTTTAACAACTAGTGCTGTAGCCAAAACATGTCTGCTTACATTCTTTATTTCTCATAAGTGGAATTTCTTGTGAAAGGTTTTGTTTGTTTTGCTATACTCAGAGAAAAATGCACTCATCGGCGAGTTGGACAGGGAATTTTCTGAAAGAATAAAAAGCACATGTTCTGACCATCACCACCTGTCTTAGTCTCAGCTCAAATTTGAACCCAAAGTTTAAAGCACTTAAGAAGCATCTAAGTTTATTACTGTTGTTTATGATACAGTGGCTTCTGATTTTAAGAAGACAATCAAGGAGCCAGGAGTTGCTAGAAAGCAGTTCACTTACAAAATATAGGGGAACCTGGGTATCTTCACTTGCAACATGCATTGTAATGGAATCAATATCTCCTATCTTTTGTAATGCAGTATAATTTTATACCTATTTCGGAATGGCTACTTATTGTAGGATAAATTGGTGTTGACCTATGTTGTTCAAATACTTTGTATGTGTTCGTACAGTAATATAGTCGTGTTCAAAATAAATCCCCACTGTAATCTGTCCATACTCAAGTTGGAAAAAAAAATCTTTATGTTTGGTTGATTTACTTCTACGTCCGCTCTATAAGTGAGAATAGGACCTCCCCCACTTCCGCCCGGTTTTAGAGCTCAAATGTGTTTCAGATTAACCTCTCAAATATACAATTCAGTTAACTTGTTTAAAACATATTGATTCCCACTAGGCATTTCCACCTGGGAGGAACTGATTTCTATCTAAGTATGTAAACTTTTGCTTTTCCCCTGGCCAAACACACACACACACACACACTCACACATACAGTCACACAGTGAATGTTTTCACATTGAAACTGAAGATGTAAATGAAGGCCTGCAGTCTCTGTCTGGTTCTAGTTACAAGGTCTGTTTGTTGACATCACAGATGAAGGCCTGCTGTGTCTCTGGCTCTGTCTACTCCATTTCCCCTCTAATTAGGCTTTGCCCTCAATTAAGTTAATGATGCAACTTTCCCTATAGATCATTTGCCCTTTCAATCAATTAACAGAATATGAAGGGTGCATCCCTCCTTGGCTTGGGATTCATTTGCCCGAGGGCAGACTGTTCCGCTCCCAGAAGTACCACATAAGCAAAAGCAAGATGTTTACTATATCACATATTATCCCTGAGAAAATCAGGCCTAATAGAAGCCTTAACTAAACTGCACTTCATTATTGATTTGTGTCAGGGTAAAGAATTTATCTGAAATACTAGACCAGGTCAAAAATATTAATGGGAGTGTTGTAAATATAAGGCAGTTCAAGACAAATGTAGAGTTAATATTTTAAAACAGAAAAGACTTCTGCAATGTCAAGTGGAATTATGAAACACACACACACACACACACACACACACACACGCATACCTAAATGACCTGAACAAATACTTGAGGTTTCTATCATTTGTGGGTGAAATCACAATGGTCTCTCCCAGACAAGATTATTTTTTATTTCTCAGCCTGTACTCAAAGATTTCAGAATGCATTTAAATGTAATTTGGTTTTAAATAATAAAGATAACCACAATAAGATTATTATAGAACCCATATGTCGTCTGTACCAATATTTGAATGCTGCAAAGATCAAGATTTTAAGATAAAGTTAGCTGATGCTTTCTTAAAAGGTATGACGATTAGGTTAAAAGACAAATATGATAGTTTAGCATTTTATTGAAAGGCAGGATTGAAATAGATGTAGAACTGCAACAGGGTTCTACAAAGAATAGAAATACTAACTCTACATAGATCATAAATATCCTGTAGAATATTGTTTTGTTTAACAGAATGTGGCCATTCTGTTAAACAAAGGCATGTTTTCACATCTTTTTTTGCCCATATAATAGGTAATGCCTCTTTGTGATAAAATAGAACTTGACTTTTCTCCTCCAGCTTTATTAAATTATAATTGTCAAAAATTGTATATATTCAAAGCGTACAATGTGATGTTTTGATATGTGTAGACATTGTGAAATGATTTCCATAATCAAGTTAATTAACATATCCATCACCTCACAGGGTTGCCTTTTTGTGTGTGTGTAGTAAGAATGGTTAAGATTTACTCACTTAAGGAATTTCAAGTATTCTGTATACATTATTATAATTTTATTTATTTATTTATTTGAGACAGGGTCTTTGTCTGTCACCCAGGCTGGAGTGCAGTGGTGTTATCATGGCTCACTACAGCCTCCTCTTCCCAGGCTCAAGGGACCCTCCTGCCTCAGCCTTCCAAGTAGCTGGGACCACAAGCATGCATCATCACGTCTGGCTATATTTTTGATTTTTTGTGGAGATGGGGTCTCATTATATTGCCCTGGCATGTCTCCAACACCTGGGCTCAAGCAATCCTTCTGCTTCCACCTCCCAAAGTGCTGGGATTACAGACATGACCCACTGCGCCCAGCCTTGTGTACATTATTATTAAATAGAGTCACCATGCTGTATATTAAGTCTCCCAAACTTATTTATCTTATAACTGCAATTTTGTACACTTTGACCAACATTTTCCCATTTCCTGAATCCCTCAACTCCTAGTAACCACCCTTCTATTCTCTGTTTCTATGAGTTTGACTTTTTTAGATTCCCCATAAAGCATTTGGCACTTGATGGAAGATTCAGATAAAAAGAAATACCTCCACTAAAAAGTTGTTAAAATCTTACATTACTAACACAATCTAAGGGAACAAAAATTAGCTGGGCAAGGTGGCACATGCCTATAGTCCCAGCTACTCAGGAGGCTGAGGCAGGAGAATTGCTCGAACCCAGAAGGCGGAGGTTGCAGTGAGGCGAGATCGTGCCACTGCACTCCAGCCTAGTGACAGAGCAAGACTCCATCTAAGAAAAATAAAAATAAAAATAAATTAAAAAAATTTGTCATATTTGGATGTCAGCCTGAAGAAAGCAGGGAGTCATGGAAGGTTTTAAAGCACTCTGCATTGAACAAGCTCAGGTTATGTACACACCAGTCCAGGGATATTTAGCTTTAGCTCCTTAAGCACCAGCCATGAGTGAACACCAATGGGTTAAATTCATATTGATTCAATCTCAGCATATCCAAACCTTAACTCATGATTTCCCCTCAGAGACAATGTTCATCTTATTTCTAATTTCTCCATTTGTAGTAATGTTCTTGCCACACAGCAAAGAAACAATCATTAACAGAGCACCTTGGGGATAAAAGCAGCAAAGCCCACCTATAAAAGGTCCATTTAGACCTAGAGAAGGAGAAATGATTCAATCTAAGCCACATAGGTAGTAGGGCACAGAAATAGAATTCTAGTCCAGTTAGAAAATACTCTATAGCCATGTTTTTCTACATAATCGAAGTTAAATGATAATTAATAAAGATGACAAAAACAGTAACATTCAGGTTACTTTGGGATGTGGCACCAGGTGAGAGCATGAATCAGGATACTGAACAATACCCCAGGAAGAGATGGATGCCTTCCCTCAAGAGGAGAGCAACTCAGGTAAGAAAGAAGAAAAGTTAGGTTCCCAGAAGCCATTCTAGGGAAGGCATGCTCTATCTAGGGAGTATGAAGATTGCACTCCCTGGTACCAAAGGCATAACCCATTGCTGATACAATCAGGCTGATATTCTATAGCCATTTTGTACAATGTAAAAGCTCTTGGGCTAATGAATGAACAATTAATTTTATTACTTTCATTCCTTCTTTAATGGTTTAGAGAGTATTAACTGTAAGTAAGTAACTGATGTACAATTCAGATATATAAGCATCCAGAATTCATTGGTGATGTTTTTAAAATAACCCCCATCTGTATGTCTGCAGGCCACAATCTGTTTCATCCTTCTTCCTCTGCGAACATCATTTCACATGAAACTTCATCTGGCCTTTCTCAAACTGCTGAACTGTTTCTGGGACAGGACTGGCTCCACTTCAATTGAGTGGATGTGGAGCACTGGCGCACTAAAATTTTAAACACACACAATACTACTTCCCCCATTCACACTGAATTTAGCTGATGGTATTGTGCATGCTAGATAGCAAAGCTATAATAGATCAATGAAATATTTGGGAGCCAAAAATGTGTTGCCCTATTCAAGCAACTTCTTTATTTTCCTTCCTGTGAGTAAAAATGCCTTCCTCACTCTTCCTTTGGGTAGTCTTTCAAACAGAAGACAGTTAAATTAGGTTCCATGGCTGTTTGGTTGATCCCTTGCTATGAAGAATCAGGACAATGTCATCTCCATGATAATCTTTAATTTGCACCATTTTTTCCGTTTCTTTTTTCAGCAGTACCTTTGGCCCACAGTGTTCTTATCTTATAGAACACACAATTAGCCAGTGAAAAACTCATAACTAGTCTATCTAGTGGAGAAAAATTCTTGTGGTAAGTATCAGAAATACTTGAAGTAGGTGTAAAGTACACATCTCAACTTATGCAAATAAATTGATGATGTCAAAAACATTGATCAATTTAGAGAAGTCCACATCTTCTCATTTTCCAAACTCACCTTTGATATTACTATTTTTTTGTGCTACTTTACTTTTCATTTACATACTTCTAATATATTGTTTTTCTAGTGGCCCACTTCACTCTAGGGCTACTACCCTCACATAAGGGTAGTTAACACTAACACTAAAACTCTTTATTTTTTCTTTCTCTTCTCAAGGTTCGCATTTTTTATCTTCTGAAGGTCCCAAACAGTTCTCATGTCTTCCTTCCCCATGGAGGGCTTTTAATCTTCCTTTGTGATCTAACACCTTTTCCTAGATAATTCCTCTCAGTCATTTTATTTATTTATTTTTTTACATGAAATATTTTTTAATGGTTGTAATGATATATTTTGCATGTAAAATCAAAAAGCTTAAATATAAACTGGAATTATTTCACTAAAAATGCTAGCTGAAAGGAAAATGTATATAATTTTCAACTTTTAAAAAAAAAAAACATCAGCAAGAGTTGGAGCAGCTGAGGTGGCTCTGGGGTGTACTGACTTTATGTTGCATGAGCTCAGAGCAAGGACTGGGTGATGCCAACACAACTGAAACTTCCCAGAGTTATTTTTAACCAATATTCCTAAAACTGATGTCAGTGTATTCAAATCCTCTAAGGACTTAAAAAAGTTGGTTTTAATATTGAAGGTAATTAAGAAAAATTCAATACAAATAAACTTTAAATCACTTTTGCCAACCTCCTATGAGGTGGCATTGTTAAAATTCTACAGATGAAAAGAAATTAAGATTCAGAGATGTAAACAGATTTATAAAGTCACACATGACTAAGTAGTAGAGTCAGATTCAAACCCAGGTGTTTTGGTTACAAGTCCAAATATCACAGGGTGTCTCAGAGAGACAAAGTAGGTCTGAAGGTTGCAATTGCCGCTCCCCCCACCCCAGTCATCATTCTAGGACAGCAAAATTACACAGGGTTATTTGTTTCTATAACAGAGTATTCTCTGCTTCAGTACTTCAGAGTCTTCTGTGCAGTTTTAGGTTATCAGTTTGTCCATCCTAGAAACAACACTTACCGTGGTTTCTGAGAAATAAGGAAATGAAGGGTCTCAGATGAAATCAGGTAACTGAGACTGCTTAATCACTAAACTTAATTTTATCCTCAACTTCAAGTCATGGCTTTGCCCTGAGGCTAACTGCTTTTTACCTGGGGAGAGTGAAAAATAAAATGTGTGTGTGTTGGTGGTGGGGAGTGGTGGGGAGGGGAGGTTTAGCACTCTAGCACCAAGAGCTATAATACATTGCTACACTTTTTTGTTTGTTTGTTTGTTTTGAGACAGAGTTTTGCTCTTGTTGCCCAGGCTGCAGTGCAATGGTGCGATCTCAGCTTACTGCACTCTTTACCTCCCAGGTTCAAGCAATTCTCCTGCCTCAGCCTCCAGGGTAGCTGGGATTACAGGCGCCCTCCACCACGCCTGGCTACTTTTTGAATTTTCAGTAGGGACGGGGTTTCACCATGTTGGTCATGCTAGTCTCGAACTACTGACCTCAGGTGATCCACCCGCCTTGGCCTCCCAAAATACTGGGATTATAGGCATGAGCCACTGCGCCTGGCCTAGAATAGAACTTTTAACTGTTTTCTGGATGGTTAAGCTGGGCAAAAATGAGTAGCAGTTACGGGAGCGTGTAACAGAACACATAATTTGCACTGTGAGTTTTTTGTGTTTGTTAGATTTTCTAGTTATTAGAAAATCTTCAGGGCCATTTGTCACTCTTGCAGCAAGACTATAGGCTTTTCACATTGCTGACTATGGTGTTCTCATTCAAAGCAGTGATGTGTTTCTTCTCTTCCACCTGTATCTATTATCTGTCACATGCACATTTACATAATACCTTACGTATACATGTATATGTGTGTTTACATATGTAGAATTACCACAGATACATAGTATACATAGATATAAATCTATGTAAGATACGAATGTAAAGAATATTTTGGGCTGGGCGCAGTGGCTCACACCTGTAATCCCAGCACTTTGGGAGGCCGAGGTGGGTGGATCACCTGAGGTCAAGAGTTCAAGACTAGCCTGACCAACATGGAGAAACCCCCGTGTCTACTAAAAACACAAAATTAGCTGGGGTGGTGGCACATGCCTGTAATCCCAGCTACTCGGGAGGCTGAGGCAGGAGGAGAATCGCTTGAACTAGGAGGTGGAGGTTGCGGTGAGCCGAGATCACACCATTGCACTCCAGCCGGGGCAAAAAGAGTGAAACTCTGTCTCCAAAAAATATATATATATATATTTTATGCTGGACACAGTGGCTCATGCCTGTAATCCCAGCACTTCGGGAGGCCGAAGCGGGAGAATCACTTGAAGTCAGGAGTTCAAGACCAGCCTGGCCAACGTGATGAAACCCCATCTCTACCAAAAATTAACAAATTAGCTGGGCAAGGTGGCACACTCCTGTAATCCAAGCTACTCAGGAGGCTGAGGCAGGAGAATCGCCTGAACCTTGGAGGCAGAGGTTGCAGTGAGCTGAGATCACAACATTGCACTCCAGTCTGGGTGACAGAGTGAGACCCTGCCACAAAAAAAAAAAAGAAAAAAAGAAAAAAAAGAATATTTAAAAAAATACTCTAAAACTTACTAAATATTCAAATGACTGCTGCTCTCTACAGAGGAGTTCGATATCTTGGGAAGCCGCATAAGTCATTATGACTATAACACTGTAATTCCCACTATTTAGACTTCCTCTTTTGGGATTTCTTTCAGAACCCTTGTAATTTCAGTGAAAACAAGATTAATATACAAAGTGAATAAATTAGGCTAATTAGCATAATACTCTTTTGGTGGTGCTTGTTGTTTGGGGACAGCATGGCACAGGGGGTGTGCAGTCATTAAGGAGAGCAATGAGTGTTCATGACTTATCAACTGGCTCTAAATTACAAGTCTAACAATACAATTGACTTCCTAAAGATTAAATTGTCATCAATAGTATCCAAGTAGAAGTAAGAGAACTACCAGAGTTATGTCTGCAGTTCTGACATTTTGCTCCATTGCTGGGTTCCTATATCCAATTATTTGACATCTCCACATGGAAGATGGCCAAAACCAAACCCTTGATTTTTCCACCTCAAATTTCTCTCACCATCTTTCTCATCTCAGGAAATTGTAACACTTTCTACCAAAGACCCGGAGGTCAACCATGATTCATCTCTTTTCCTCATTTTTTTTTTCTTTTTCTTTTCTTTTTGAGATGAAGTCTTGCTCTTGTTGCCCAGGCTGGAGTGCAGTGGTGCAATCTCGGCTCACTGCAACCTCCACCTCCTGGGTTCAAGTGATTCTCCTGCCTCAGCCTCCCAAGTAGTTGGGATTACAGGCACCCGCCACCATGCCCAGCTAATTTTTGTATTTTTAGTAGAGACGGAGTTTCCCCATGTTGGCCAGGCTGGTCATGAACTCCTGACCTCAGGTGATCCGCCCGCCTCAGCCTCCCAAAGTGCTGGGATTACAGGCGTGAGCCTCTGCGCCTGGCTTTCCTCATCTTTCTAGTTGAAATCAACCAGCAAATCCTATCAACTATGTCTGTAACATATATTCTGGATCTGTACGCTATTCTCCCTAACTAAAGCTACCTGTGGCCATTTGTGTCTCTTGCCTAAACTATTTACATGAACAGCTTTTTTGTTTGTTTGTTTGTTTTGTTTTGTTTGTTTGAGACGGAGTCTTGCTCTGTCACCCAGGCTGGAGTGCAGTGACGCAATCTTGGCTCACTGCAACCTCTGCCTCCCGGGTTCAAGCGATTCTCCTGCCTCAGCTTCCTGAGTAGCTGGGATTACAGGGCCTGCCACCACACCTGACTAATTTTTGTATTTTTAGTAGAGACAGGGTTTCACCATGTTGGCCAGGCTGGTCTCGAACACCTAACTTCATGATCGGCCCTCTTTGGCCTCCCAAAGTGCTGGGATTACAGGTGTGAGCCACCGTGCCCGGCTGAACAGCTTTTTAACTTGTCTTCTTTCTTATTATTTATTTATTTATTTATTTTTGAGATGGAGTCTTGCTCTGTCACCAGGATGGAGTGCAGTGGCGTGATCTTGGCTCACTGCAACCTCCACCTCCTGGGTTCAAGCGATTCTCCTGCCTCAGCCTCCTGAGCAGCTAGGATTACAGGGGCCTGCCACCACGCCCGGATAATTTTTGTATTTTTTAGTAGGGACGGAGTTTCACCATGTTGGTCAGGATGGTCTCGATCTCTTGACCTCGTGATCCGCCTGCCTTGGACTCCCAAAATGCTGGGATTACAGGCTTAAACCATCACGCCTGGCCTAACGTGTCTTCTTTCTTTTCCACCTGCTTCCTTAGAAACTGTTCTCTACATAGGAACCAGAATAAAATTTTCGAAACATAAATTGCATCTTACCATTGTCCTGCTTACAACTCTTCAGTCACTTCCTTTTTACTAACACATACAATTCATACTCCCAAGCTTGGCACTAAGTTAAGGGACCCCTTTAAATATTTATCATAACATCCACAATCAGCCTCACACTCTGTACCCATTTTGCGAGACTCTTTTTCACAATGAATCTTCAGCCATGCTAATTTTCTTTTGCTTCCTCAAAGAGTCCAGCCTTGTTTTGCTCTGGGGCCTTTGTACTGGCTGGTCTCTCTTCCTGTTTTGTTGTTGTTGTTGTTGTTGTTGGTTTGTTTTTTGAGACAGAGTTTCGCTCGTCACCCAGGCTGGAGTACAATGGTGCTATCTCGGCTCACCGGAAACTCCGCCTCTCGGGTTCAAGCGATTCTCCTGCCTCAGCCTCCCGAGTAGCTGGAATTACATGCATGTGCCACCACACCTGGCTAATTTTGTGTTTTTAGTTGAGACGGGGTTTCTCCATGTTGGCCAGGCTGGTCTCGAACTCCTGACCTCAGGTCATCCGCCCACTTCGGCCTCCCAAAGTGATGGGATTACAGTCATGAGCCACCGCACCAGGGCTTCCTGTGGTCTTTTTCACATGTCAACTGAAACCCTCAAAGTTAGGTTGCAACTGAAATGTCACCTCTTCAGAGAATCCTTCTGTAGTGGGTTGAAATGGTGGTCCTCAAAAAGATACGTCCATGTCCTAATGCCTGGAACCTGTGAATGTGACCTTATTTTCAAAAGGAGTCTTTGCTAATGTAATTCAGAATCTTAAGATGACCCTAGATTACACAGGTGGGCTTTAAATCCTGTAACAAGTGTCTTTATGAGACACATAGAGAAGAGACATGGATTGAGGAGAAGGCCATGTGAAGATAGAGGCAGAGATTGAAGTTAGGCAGCCACAAATTGAGAAATGCATCAAGCAACCAGAAACTGGAAGAGACAAGAAAGGGGTCTCCCCCGGAGCATTTGGAGGGAGCACAAGCCTGCTTACATCTTGATTGTGGATGTCTGGCCTCCAGGACTGTGAAAGGATATTTTTATGTTGTTTTAGGTTACCACGTATGTGATAATTTTTTTGTGGTAGTCCTAGGAAACTAACACACCTTCCCTGGCCATCCAATCTAAAGTAGCCATGCAGTTACCATCACCATTTTATTTTCTTCATGACACATGCTACTTGATTCTTTTGTCTATTTTCTTGTTTATTTTTTTCTCTCTCACTTAGAATGTAAAACAGTCTGTCACTTAGAATTTTAAGAGAGCAACTGTATTATTTTTATCTTCACTGTCATTATTTTTAGAGCCTGTTCCCATGTTTGAAATACAGTAGGTATACAATAAAAATTTGTGGAATAGATGAACAAATCACATACTATGAATGATTTGGGAGGCTGGACTACATATTGCTAAGGTATTTTCTAATCCAAGATGTTTATAATTTTGCTATTTCAAGATGATTTTTTGACATAAAATTAGAGACCATTGGTAGAGGAATTACAGATTAAAAACACAGTTTTAAGAACAACATGGCAGAATATACTATGTGAATTGTAGAAGCAAGGAATGCTAAAGAATTTTACTACTTAGGAGGGAAATAATCTAATTGAGAGTCATGAGGGACTGTATCAGAAAAGCTGTAAGAACTGTGAAGAAGAAAAAAAATAAGAAACATACACATATTAATTATAAAGCGAAGCCAAATTTCAATAGGACAATTTAAAATTTTTGATTTTAAATTGTGAATTTGAGCTTACAAAACTGCATCACAAACACATGGATGAATGTTCATATTCATCATAAATAAAGGTTTTTTAAAAAATTATATCCCCTTTTGAGTGATTAATGATGAGTACATGCAAAGGTTGAATGTATCAAGCTGATTATAAAATAAATATTTCCGAAGGTATCTTCTGTGAATCAATGAGTCACATCAGCTCTTTTAGTTTAATATGGTCTAAGTGGAGGCTAGAATATAAGTCATACGTTTATTAAGGTTTCAATGGCTATTTAAGAAAAGCAGTAGAAATCCAGTAAATTATAATTTACACAAATGCACAAGGATCCAGCTTATTCTATAGGGGTGGATTTTCTTGATAAATGGAAACTTAAATGTATTTAAAGGATTCCTTTTGGAAGAAAGGTGTTATTAATTTTTATATTTATAAAAGATAAAATATGTCGATTATATAATTACAGAGAACACTTTTCTCTCTCTCTTTTTTTTTTTTTCTGGAGACAGAGTATCATTCTGTCACCCAGGATGGAGTGCAGTGGCTCAATCTCAGCTCACTGCAACCTCCACCTCCCAGGTTCAAGTGATTCTCCTGCCTCAGCCTCCGTAGTAGCTGGGATTACAGGCATGTGCCTCCAAGCCCAGCTAATTTTTCTTGTATTTTTAGTAGAGACAGGGTTTTGCCATGTTGCCCAGGCTGGTCTCGAACACCTGAGCTCAAGTGATCCACCCACCTCCGCCTCTGAAAGTCTGGGGATTACAGGCATGAGCCACTGTGCCCAGCTCAGAGAATGCTTTTCTTTTTACAGACAGTCTCTTATATGTAAAGGAAATAAATTTCTATTAAAATAGTATTTTCTAAAATTTGATTCTACTATATCGATCCATGTAATAATAAAAGCAATTAAAACCCTAGGATGAGAGGCAGAAAAAGATAGGGAATCCCATTATTCAAAGAAAGAAGTAAGAAAGAGACTTCAGCAAAAAGAGAAATTGTTGTATGGTTTAATTGCATAGTTCAAATACAGAAAGAGCTACCAAGTCAGAAGTTTCTGCTGTGGTGTTCTAGTTGTGTCCCCCCCACCCTCCACCGCCACCCACTTACCTTTAAGTATTTAAGTTATGAATCATACATTTTACATAGATAATTTGAGAAATGCAAGGTTTTAAGCTTAGCTGTTGAAAGCTATGTTGCTTTTCTTTTTTCAAAGTTTTTGGAAATGATACCCTTCTGCTTGATAAAATCAGAAGTTTAAGATGTACAAACAAATCAGATGATATCACTCTATTGGTAAAGGAGTAAGTCTTATGAATGAATTACGAAACTTGGGACAGACTCTGATGTTACGTTTCTTCCCTAAAAGGGCAGTTTGAAAGCCTCTAAGAGAAGATTATGAAGTTTGGAACCAGATGCCAGGAGACACGAGGAAGGCTGTAGATGCTTTGAACTTGTCTACTGGAGGAATATGCTATGTTGTGGTAAGTTAAGGTCTATCAAGGGCATTTGGCTACAGAGTGAGAATTTCTATACTTGCATTTCACACTTGTACGTGAACTTGCATCTGAGAATAAACTTGAACTGATGGAGGAAAGGGTGAGTAGTAGTGAGAATGGTATGTCAGATACAGATTGAAAAAGCTTGTCCTACTCACACCTTCATCTAAGGAATATGTCCAAACTAACAGGCTGTGCTCTCCAAAATTCCAGTATTTGATCACACACGACCTTACTTCTCTGTCCACCTTTGGCTATGGCTAATTCAGATCTAAGAATAGCTTGTACATGGCTCACCTGGAATTCAAAACTGTATCCTCCCTCTAAAGACAGGCTTTTAGCATGAAGTTGCACAGGAACAGAAACAAAGATTAAGCAAGGAAAACTGGTTGGTGGGCAGAGGGGAATGGAGTTGATATATGAAGAAGAAAAACACCAAAGGCAGGGCGTGGTGGCTCACGCCTATAATCTCAGTACTCTGGGAGGCTGAGGTGGGTGGATCATGAGGTCAGGAGTTCGAGACCAGCCTGCCAATATGGTGAAACTCTGTCTCTACTAAAAATACAAAAATTAGCCAGGCATGGTGGCGTTCACCTGTAGTCCTAGTTACTCGGGAGGCTCAGGCAGAAGAATCGCTTGAACCTGGGAGGTGGATGTTGCAGTGAGTCAAGATTGCACCACTGCACTCCAGCTTGGGTGACAAAGTGAGGCTCCAACTCGAAAAAGAAAGAAAAGAAAAGAAAAGAAAAGAAAAACACCATGAAAGAAAGACACAGAGAGGATCAGGAAGCTGGGCCATAAAACTGACTTGGTGGTGTTTTTTTTCTGAGGCCTTATTAAGCTTTCCCAGCATTCTCTGCTAGTCTGTTCTCTCAATTAACTCCCTGACAGTTAGGTGACCAACTCTCCCCATCTGCCTGGGACTACCCAGTTTTAACACTGAAAGTCCTGTGCAGGCAACAACATTATCATCACAGACATCTTTGGGTATCAGGGACTAGATAATCAAAATCCACAAATATTTTTCAGGCAATCAACAGTAAAGCTAACCGATTTACAATGGAATAAAGGAAGCCTGGCTTATAAGTGACAAAAAGTGTATCATATGACTTGTCTCAGAAAAGAAATAAAGGGCTGGGGAAAAGAAGATATAAACTCAGCCAACGTTTAAGGGGACTAGTGAATGAACAATGCTGACAGTAACTGCTTTACCTGCGGTCAGTAGGGGCACATGACTCACTGAAGAGGCCATTTTTGTCTTCAGGGCCAGGACTAAAAAGCAGAGACACGCTTTGTGGGGTTAGCAGGGGATACCGCTCAGGCAGAGATGTGGTCATTATTTTAGAGTGATACCTAATAGAAATTAGGCTTAGGACCTTGAGTTCATAGCTGATGGCAATTGTGAAGAATCTACGAAAGGAAGAAAATCATTGCTTTTGAATGCAAACATGAGTTAGGACAAAATTGATTAGAATTAGTCACAGATTTTTCCCTCCAAAGGAAGAGAACGAAGGTTCAAAAGGTAAAATAGAAATCATTTTAAGTCCACATGAATTGCCTTGAAATTGAGTGATGGGGGTGAAATGAGAGCATGATGTGGCTTTTGTGAAAATTAAACATTATTTTACTGATATGACTCATAGGATGATAGAGAATATCTTAACCTTGGGGAGGAAGGTGTTGTATCAGGTTGGTGCCTGCCTTTGATCACCTTTAGTGTGACCCAGGGTGACAGGAAGTAGGTGTTTCAGGATGATCTCAAATCAGGTGAAGACATTTAAAGTATGATCCCATTTGGGGCTGAATGATAGCAAAATTTCTTGCCAAATGAACCCCATGGATGGAGGAGAAATGAGAGGAGACAGAAGTTAAAATTGAACCAAAAAACAAGAAAGGAATATAGAAAAACAGTTGGTTATAACCTTGATTTTAATATGAACACTAGCTGTCTTAGCCAATGGAAGTAGTAATTATCAGGAAAAATTTCTTTACAAATGTATAAATGAGGGAAGAACAGAAGACATAAATGAGAGATTGCAAATGTGCAATTTATGCACCAAAAATGGGTAGTAGGCATATTCTGTTGGCTTAAAGTGTATTTATAATATCAGAAAACGTTGCCAACCTGGTTACTTTAAGAAAAAATACAAATCCTGGCTTCTCTTTAAAAAGTCAGATCTGGTGGCCAGGTGTGGTGGCTCAAGCCTATAATCCCAGCACTTTGGGAGGCTGAGGCAGGTGGATCACCTGAGGTCAGGAGTTCAAGACCAACCTGGTCAACTTGGCGAAACCCCATCTCTACTAAAAAATACAAAAAAAAAAAAAAAAAGTCAGATCTGGCGTTGCCATATGTTTATAATGAGCTGGAGCTGAGTAGACCTTTTTATAAAAAATGTTTATTTATTTGTTTTACTTTATTTTGTTAGAGACAGCATCTTGCTCTGTGGCTCAGGCTGGCCTCGAATTTCTGGCTTCAAGTGATCCTCTCACCTCAGCCTCCCAAGCAGCTAGGACTACAGGCATGCAGCACTAAGCCCAGCTGATTGGCTCTCTTTTGGCAAAACTCACCAAGAGCTCTATGTCCAGCCCTAGCCTCTGTAGAGATTTCATTTTGCTCCAGGCTTCTCTTCTTCATCTCAGCAGTTGTTTGTAGCCAAATATGCCTGCTTTAGACCAGAATGAGAGAAATAAAAATAGTGACCTAAACTGTGAAGGCAGACCCTGTCTTGGATCATCTATCCACTCAACACATAACAGTTAAGAAAACGCAATATGCCAGGGGTTCAGGTGCACAGACCACTCATTCAGCTTGTGGTTATTTTGACCATCTGTTTCTCTTCTTTATCTACTAAGTCTCATTACAAGTGCAGAATTCCTCTGAAACGTTGTGTTTTATCCAAAAATTAATTTAAAACTTGAAGTCATTCCTTTATACACTATGTTTAACAGTTAGTTCAAAAAATAATGTTGGAATAACTTGAGTCTTCTCCTCGAGAGCAAAATAGGTGGGTGCTCTAGGCAGTTTCTTCACTTTGGTAGTTCAGAGAAGCTCACAGTGTTCTTCCTGGAATGATGAATGTAAAATACTCAGCATAGTGATGAGGAGATTATTCAATAAATGTAAGCAGTTCACTAATTCAATAAAGTATGTAATTATAATAAATTTGATTAGTGGTTCATTTGAAATGAAAGTCTGATCAACACTGATTCCTTTTTTTCTGTTTCAGTACTTCATCTCTATGAATATTTAGCAAGGATTTCTACTGAACGTTTGCAGTAATAAAAAGTATGCCATCAGTTTTAATAAAGAGACACCCACTTCAATTACTATTTGTTACAACACTTCCAGTATCACTTGTGACAAATTTCAATTATAGTTGAAATCCAAAGCATAATCCAGTTCAGAGAGACACATGGAAGTGACCCTTGAGCTTTATTTTGTTAAGTTAAAGTTAAAACATTGCTTTTATTTCATCATGTCGACAAACATCCCTGGGAGTCAGAACCACCATTTTTGCAAGAGGTGAGTTGTAGTTTAAATAAAGCATTCAAACAATCATTCAAATAAGTTCAATATTTATTATTCTGTTACTTTGATTTTAGTATATTTCTAATGTCTATATCTGTCTGTCAACCTATACCTCCTTCCTAAAATATATTGGTTATGCTTACCATATTTATCCAACAAAATATGGAAAGTTATGTAAAACAGTGTCTTTTCTTCTGGGCCACTTTGCACAGGAAACTTGACTCCTCAGTGAAATGTAGGAAGGGCCTGCTTAAAGGGGCCTAAGGATATCTTACAAGCTTCTGCTTGAGTGGTAACATTTACTAGGGGAAGTAAAGAATTTATTTTTCAGCTGAAACTCTGAGAAAAATTTTAGGTATAAGGAGAAGATATAATTATGTGGTTTGGAATTTGGCCAGGGCCCCGGAATTCATATACCTCTTCACTTTTAAGATGTGTCACAGACTCTTTAATTACCCCAAGTGAATCAAGACCTCTGTTTTCTGTCTATCCCATCAAAAAGACATCACACATTGTTACACATTTATCTAATGCCTTTATGAATTTTAAATTGTACTGAGAAGTATGCAGAAATCGTCTTAATCTCTCCTACTGAATTTTGTTTTTTGAAATCCTGATGTACACATGGCAAGGTGGGAGCCATCCTTTAATAAGAGAATGATTGCAGGTGTCCGTGGGGCTCTCAGGCAAAAGCCTGAGGTCTACCTACTAGGAATCAGACTGGCTGGTTGTAATGTTGAACTTAGCTGCTTACTAGCTGTAAAATCGTACACGTGTCAGTTAACTTTGACCTTAACTTGAGCAGCAGTTTCCTTATCTGTAAAACAATCAATAAACATTTATCATTTAAATATTCTATAAATCAGATGGTGTTCAAAGAATTCTTAGCCTCATACTTGGAACACAGCAAACAGTCAATGGATGTAAGTATGATTATTATTCTAGGGCTTTCTGTAGGTCTTAAACATGATACATAGTAGGCTAAGCCATGTGGAGAGGTGGTAGGAGTTCAGCTAACAAATAATATAAATTACAGTCTGGCTTGGAAGAGCTTTGTACATCAAGCCAAGAAGTTTAGATTTTTACCCTGTAGACAAAGGAGAAGGAATCATTGAAGGGTTTTAGTCAGGGAAATGACAGGGTGACATTTGTGTCTTAGAAATAGTACTCTGGTTTCAAAGTGGAGGAGGGACTTGGAAGAAGAAAGGCTGGAAACAGTCTCAAATATATTGAAAATTTGCCTGTCTCCTCAGAGTATGAACCTAATTTACTCCCAGTTATTGAATTGTCCTGCAATGCTTCCATGCCCTGGAATTACACTTGAAAGTTGTAATTGTCTTTTGAGAGACGTAATAGACTTTTTGTCTTTATACAAAACGACCCTAAACTTCTATTCATTTTTTTTCTGGATCTTTCCCCCAAGGCACTATTTCCCTCTAAGGCACTATTTCTACTTATTTGTTAATTTTTAGTGTTGTGAGCACAATAGATAGCCAAACTTTTTAGAAGTGTGTCTAAAACTAGAATAAATAGACCTTCAGTTTCCTCTTCGCTTGGTTAATAGAAATCGGATTTCAATACAAAAGCATCTCCACTTACTAACTTTCAACTTATGAATTCCTATAGATATAACACATTGAGGGCAAAAGTGCTACAACTGTGAACATCACCAGTTGTGTGTAAACAGTCACTTGAATACTTTCACTGGGATGCGGGGAAAATGGAACAATGTCACTATTTCCATAAATTGAGGACCTGCTCTGAATACCAGAGACGAAGGATCTTATCTTTGTCTTGCCTCTGAGTCACATTGCCTTTCTAACAATGGCTGGCTCTTCATCCCTATATGCAAAGTAGAAACAGATAACACCAATGACTTATTTATAGCAAAACATCATGTATTTCCTGAAAATATGCATGAAATTATATTGGAGGTTAGCATTGAAGCATTGCCTCATGAAAATATTAAAGTCAGGCTAGTGGGGCACCGTGGCTCATGCCTGTAATTCCAACACTTTGGGAAGCCAAGGCAGGAGGAGTGCTTGAGCCCAGGACTTTGAGACCAGCCTGGGCAAGATGGCAAGATGTCATCTTTATAAATTTTTTGTTTTTGTTTTTGTTTTTGACAGAGTGTCGCTGTGTCACCCAGGCTGGAGTGCAGTGGTGCAATCTCGACTCACTGCAACCTCCATCTCCTGGGTTCAAGCGATTCTCCTGCCTCAGCCTCCCTAGTAGCTGGGACCACAGGCGTGTGCCACTATGCCCAGCTAATTCTTCTATTTTTAGAAGAGATGGGGTTTCACCATGATGTCCAGGCCGGTCTCGAACTCCTGCCCTCAAGTGATCCACCTGCCTTGGCCTCCCAAAGTGCTGGGATTACAGGCGTGAGCCACCACACCCAGCCTGAAAAATTAAAAAAAAAAAAAAAAATTAGCTGATGCTGTAACATGTGCCTGTAGTCTCAACTACTTGGAAGGCTGAGGTGGAAGGGTCACTTGAGCCCAGAAGTTTGAGGCTGCAGTGAGCCATGAAGTGCAGTGAGCCCCACTGCACTTCAGCCTGGGTTACAAAACAAGACCCCATCTCTTTAAAAAAAAAGAAAAAGAAAACTTAGGTCATCAAATTAGCTGGCCTAATGTAATCAGTGTGGCTTATAGGGCAAGGAATCAATCTTAATTCTGTTACTAATAAGGAAAATAGGATAAAAATGGAAGTATTGATAGCCAAGGTGTAATTCAAGGGTTGAGAAATAAAGTCCAGATGTTTGATTAAGGCCATGGGACAGGAACAGAGAGACATGCACAGAAGGGGCAAATGACAATATCTAGTATCGTCAGAGTCACGGGAAGCAGATAGAAAGAAATAGACCCAAACACTGGTGACTTGAAGTCCAAGGGAGCAGTAAGGAACCTAGAGAAAAATATAGGACTGAAGTAGGAAAAAGGTCTTCAGAGAACAAATTTGAGGTGCCAGAACCTGGAAAGATCCCTGTAACTGAGGCCAGTTTCTGTCTCATTCTCATAGTCTTTGTGCTTGCTGCGGTGGCAGGAACTGATGAGAGTATGACTCACTTGGACACTACTAGTGTCACTGGTACAATTTTACTGTCTTTACAGGGGTGGGAGATAAGGAGTGGTAGCTCTTTTTTGGGCATCAGCTTTGACTCTGAGGGACTAGCTGTGGAGAGGGGAAGTATGTGATCACGGCTGGGGGAGGTGGTCCCAGGGGCAGGGTTGGAGTGGAATCCAGAAGCCCTGAGCGCTTGGGAGAGACACTAAATCTGCAGAAGAGAAGTGCAAGAGCACCAAAGTCAATTTACAATTTTTCACAATTTTACCTAAAATATGTCCCTAGTCCTAGAACTATATTAATGGACTTACTAAGCCCTCCATTTTTAAACTCCCAATAAAGAAATACTCTCCCAAGCCCCATAGATCTCCTCAAAAGGCACTTTCTTAAAAGTCTCAGTGATGAATGTAAGTGTCATTAGTAATAAAAGCAAGGCTGTGTTCTGTGAAAGCCTATACTTGGAAATGGATATTTGGCGTTTTCAACAATCTTGTATAGTTTCTCACAAGTCATGCATCAATAATGCATTAATAGTGCTTTAGAATAACTCCAAAATCTGTTACCACTAAAAATAGTTTTCTGTCTTGAATAGATGTCTAATTTTGAAAGGAAATGGTTCACTTTCAAATATGAGACAGCTGTAAAAAATTATATATATGAACACATTTATGTATGGTACAGACTCTTCAAAAATAGTCCTCAATGGAGAAGAAATATCAATCTATTCTTCAAAGACTTTATACAATAGTTCTGAGGTACATAAATAAAATATAAAATTTATTTATTTGATCATTTTTACTTGGAAGTCTGTTACATTCAATATAACCAGTATAGCTAGTTATAGAATTGTGATTCTATATATGAGAAGCAAAGATGAATTAATGGTACTTGATTCTTTCATTGAAAGAATTGTGTACAATTTAATGGAATTCATGCCTAATATTTCAAAAAGGAATTGTCCTGCTTACCAAACAATCTCGTACATAACTGACCTTTCTCCATCCCACCCTCTCTCTTTCTCCTTTCTCCCTTCTTTCCTTCCTTCCTCTTTTCTTTTTCTTTACTTGTCTTTCTTTACCCCTCTTTCCTTCCTTCTGCCCTCCCTCCCATCCTCCCTCCCTCCTTCCCTTTTTTCCTTCTCACCATCTTTTTCTTTTCTCTCCCTTTCTTTCTTTTTCTTTCTTTCTCTTTCTTTCTTTCCTTCCTCTCTCTTTCTCTCTCTCTCTCTCTTTCTCCTTCCTTCTTCCCTCCCTCTCCGTCTCTCTTTCTTTCTTTCTTTCCCACCAGAAATGTTGTTAACCAGCAAAGAACCAATGGAAAATAAGTAGCTAAAAATAACTCATCCAATAACTATTCATTCCTTGGATTCCTAAAATGACATGAAGTGCTATAATAGGTGCATGTGCAACTGTGGCCTAGACACAGACCCTGCCATCATTATTTATAGGTTAGTGTAGATCCAGACAAGGAGAGAGGTCATACTTGGGGTTAGGAAGACTTTCCTGAGGAAGTGATATCTAAGTGGAGACCTGTGCATGAATAGGAGTCACTGCTTTGTGTTGAATGTGGGGTGAGACAAAGGAATAAAAGGTGTTCGTGGCAGAGGGAATATGTATAGAAACCCAGAAGCAAGAAGGAGCATAGAGCATATTGAAGAATCTCAGAGTTGGAGCTTTGGAGGTGGCTGGGGGAGTGGTGATCTGCATGTGGCATAGTGGTGGGGGATAAGGTAGAAAGGTGTTCTAATAAATGCTATGGGGTTTGGGCTTTATCCTAAGAAAAGTGAAAATAGAGAAGCTCATGAATACATACATTTAATTATGTCTAGGTTACTTAAATATCCGGGATGCTGCTTACCCTCCGTTTAAGTGCATCCTTATGAAAACTAAGACTAACTTAGCAGCAGGACATGAGGAAGCATCCAGTTCATAGACAAAAAGCTATATAAGCCAGTTTCTAAAATTTGTTTTTTCTACCAGTGGGTAAAATAATGTTACAATATTCAAATTGAGACTCAACAGACTTTAGACATCTTTTGGAATCAAAACGTAAGCTATTTAAACCCTGAATTATATAATATTTGAAATTACGTAAAAATTCCCCAGGCCGGGGTTCTGGAAACCCTTAAGACCTCTGTGCAGCATGCTTCAGCCATTTCTGCCAAAAGAAACTCTCTGATTAAAGGGAACGAGGCCACAAGGTCCAGGAAATGAGGATCCCTGGAAGGAGACGTGCAAGTTTGCACAGACACATCTGCCCAGGGCCTACAAGTAACTGGGATGATGCAAAGATTAATACATTTAATTTTTGCTTTTTATTAGATTTTCACAGGACTCTGTGTGTTTTTTTTTTTTTTTTTTTTTTTTTTTTTTTTTGAGACAGAGTCTTGCTCTGTTGCCCAGGCTGGAGTGCAGGGGTGCAGTCTCGGCTTACTGCAAATTCCACCTCCCAGGTTCACACCATTCTCCTGGCTCAGCCTCCTCATTAGCTGGGACTACAGGCACCCACCACCACGCCCAGCTAATTTTTTTGTATTTTTAGTAGAGACGGGGTTTCGCCGTGTTAGCCAGGATGGGCTCAATCTCCTGACCTTGTGATCTGCTGGCCTCGGCCTTCCAAAGTGCTGGGATTACAGGCATGAGCCACTGCGCCCGGCCAGGACTCTGTGTTTTTAAGCACAACCTAATGTAGTGACACTTGACTATCCTAAAATGAAGAGAAAATTATGTCCATTCCCCTGTGGATACCACTGTTAAGAACGATGGCTTTTAGCTTTTTCTGGGTGCACAAAACATTTTGAAAAATCATTAATGACTGGGCGTGGTGGCTCACGCCTGTAATCCCAGCACTTTGGGAGACCGAGGCAGACGGATCACGAGGTCAGGAGTTTGAGACCAGCTTGGTCAATATGGTGAAACCCTGTCTCTGCTAAAAATACAAAAATTAGCCAGGCATGGTGGCTCATGCCTGTAGTCCCATTTTCTCAGGAGGCTGAAGCAGAAGAATCGCTTGTACCCAGGAGGCAGAGGTTTCAGTGAGCCGAGATCACGCCATTGCATTCCAGCCTAGGCGACAAAGTGAGACTCTGTCTCAAAAAGAAAAAAAAAAAAAACAGAAAAGAAAAAGAAAAATCATTGAATATTCACCTTGACATCTGAATATGCAAATATAAAACTGTAATCATATGCACACTAAATTCTGCCTAGACTTTCAGAAGGTGCACAGATTCCCATGGTTCATCCACAGACGCAGATAAATACTATAATAGTAACCTCGATTGAATATTTACTATATGCCAAACACTCAACTAAGCACTATACATGTCTTATCTCATTCCATTCTCTTAATAATTGTATAATAGGATTACTATTATCTCCATTTTAAAGATGAGCAAACTGAGGCTTATAGGAGTAAGGTAACATGCCTAATGTTGCACAGATAGAATGGTGGAGTCATCATTAAAACCCAGGCAAGCTGTCTCCCCAAGCCAAGCTCTTAATCACTGCCCAGGCCCCTAGTCATATTTGCACTTGAACAATACAGGATGATATGGAAATAAAACTACACTCAGAGCCAAGATGCACAGTTCTCATTCTGATTGTGTTCTTCAATGTCAAAACAAGATAAAAGTTTCAAAGCCATATTAAGGAATAAGAAAATGCATAGAAGGAAAGCAATGTTAAAATCATTCATAACCAGTGACCCAGGGATATATGTTAACATTGCAAAGTTTATTAAAAGATTGCTACGTGCTGAAAACTAGTCTTAAGGTTTTACATGCATTATCTCACTAGATCCTCACTGTATTACCTTGTTGTAAGGGGATCATACTTTTATCTCTATTTTACAAGGTAGAACATAGGCTTAGGGTGAAGAAGTAACTAATTTAAAATTAAGCAGTAAATTATTATGTAGTGAAGTTGGATATTATAGTTTAATCTGTTTTATGGCAAACTCATGTTCTTAATCTATTTGCTCTATTGTCTCATTTCCCAATACACCTTTCCAGGTATTTATTTCTAGGCATATATACCTATACATAAGTGAATATTTTCAAGATAGGGCATTCTGGACATATAATTTTATAATCTGTGCTTTTACTAAGCAATATATTGAAAACATTTTTCCATATTGTTACCAGGGATCCTTGCTTCCAGAGCTCCCAAGATGGAGGCAGTCTGCTTCTAAGATGGTGGCAAGCCTCGTGTTCTCTGACCTGGGGTTCTTGGCCTCAGGGATTCCAAGGAATGGAATCTTGGGGCATGCGGTGAGTGTTATAGCTCTATTAGAAGTCATGGGTCACAGAAGAGAACTGTGGAACCCAGTGACTAGTGTTCAGCTCGATTAGGACGAACCCTGGCACTTAGCCGTGCAGGAACAATGGCAAGCCTTTAGCCAGATCCGGAGTGGCAATGGGCGTCTCGCTGGATCAGGAGCACAGCAGACACCCTGCCAGATCCGGAGGGATGGAAGTCAGCGGTGGGTCAGCGACAATGGCAACCAGCAGTGGTGGATGGCGAGCGAAGGCTCAGCTCTAGCCATAGCAAACACGGACCAGAAGAGAGTGCAGTTGCAAGATTTAATAGAGTGAAAACAGGCTCCCATGCAAAGGGAGGGGACCCAAAGAGGGTAGTCGTTGCCAGGTTTATATCCGGATCATTGTCCCTCCAGCTGTGCTCTCAGGCGATAGATGATTAGCTATTTCTTTACCTCCTGTTTTTGCCTAATTAGCATTTTAATGAGCTCTCTTTACTACCTGATTGGTCGGGTGTGAGCTAAGTTGCATGCCCTGTGTTTAAAGGTGGATGTGGTCACCTTCCCAGCTAGGCTTAGATATTCTTAGTCGGCCTAGGAAATCCAGCTAGTCCTGTCTCTCAATATCAAATACACATTAGTGACAAATATGTTTCTATGAACTATTCTTTAATGGCTGTGTAGTATTCCAATAAATGGATCATCATCATTTGTGGACTGCTACCTTAAGTTTAAATATTTGTGTTGGTTCCAATTTTTCCCCAATCACTTGCTTCTAGATAAAATTCTTACTCTCTCTTATTTCAAATGGGAATAATAGCATTGTTCCATCTATCACAGGATTAGCATGGGAACTGAATCAAATAATACTTAAGAGTAAGTCCAAAGAGGGAAAGTAATATATTATGATCATTTCTCCTTTGGGGAAGGAAGAAGTATGCCTCAGCAGGAGGGAAATAAAATAGTCACTTTGTGCATACAAAAGAAATAATAACATTGAGAAATTTCTCTACTTTCTACTCCATCAATTGTGAGTTATATACTTCACTATCCAAAATAAATATGTGTAAGAAATTACCATTTTGTTTAAAAATGAGATAGACTGCTAAAAACACTGACTATTTATTGACTTAATCACAGATTGTAAGATTATAAGTGTTATCCATGTACCCTCAGAGCTGCTTGGGAGGGAGACTGAAAATAAAAGAGAAGAGTTGTCACTTTATTATTCAAATATCAATGTAACAAATAAATGGTTCAGGCCAGGTGCAGTGGCTCACCCCTGTAATCCCAGCACTTTGGGAGGCCAAGGCGAGTGAATCACTTGAGGTCAGGAGCTTGAGACCAGTCTGGCCGACATGGTGAAACCCCATATCTACTAAAAATACAAAAATTAGCTGGGTGTGGTGGTGCATGCCTGTAATCCCAGCTACTCAGGAGACTGAGGCAGGAGAATCCTTTTAACCCGGGAGGCGGAGGTTGCAGTGAGCCGAGATTGCACCACTGCACTCTAGCCTGGGCTACAGAGTGAGACTCCATCTCAAAAAAAAAAAAAAAACAAAAACAAAAAAGCAAAAAACAAAACAAATAAATGGTTCTGTGAATATTCCGTTTAGATTTATGTCATTATAGTAACATAAATTATATGAAATGGCCAAAACTGAATTTGCACTTGCTATTTGAACATACACTTTGGTCTTTCAAAGTCCGAGACTCCAATATATCAATTGCTAATCAGCACAAAGGTTAGGCTCAGATTGGAGGTGAGACTCAGAGACATACAATCACATTGTCCATAGAGTCACTGGTAAGTCAGCCCCGTCTCCATTTGAACTGGTGCTTGACTTTAGAGACAGGGCATAGCTAAAACAAAGAGCATCTGTCTCCCTTCTCCTCACTACACCTTGCCTCTCAAATCCTTCTCTCTTACTCCCTATTATTCTTAATGACATTTCCCTCTCCAAAGATAGAGGTGCCTTGTCCTGTGCAGAGGGTAGGCAGTGGTACAAGAACAAGGTGGATCAGCAGTGAGTTGACATAATCATGTACAGTGATGGCACCACATAGCATTTCAGTCAGCAATGGACTGCATATGTGACAGTGGTCACGTAAGATCATAATATTGTATTTAAACCTTTCGACGTTTAGATATGTTTAGATACACCAACACCATTGTATTACAATTGCCCACAGTATTCAGTACAGTCATGTGCTATACAGTTTTGTAGCCTAGGTGTGTAGCAGGCTATCCCATCTAGTTTTGTGTAAGTACACTCTGATGTTTGCACAATGACAGAATCACCTAAGGATGCCTTTCTCAGACTATATTCTTGTCATTAAGTGATGCATGACTGTACAAGGTTTAAGACTTTCACTAAGATGGAAACCTGGTCTCAGGAAACGCACAGAGCAGTAGGCCAAGGATGATATGACCTAACATCTGTATCATCACTTCAAGTGTATCAAATTTGCGTGGAGCCCTGAAGCTCCCTGAATCTCCCAATTATTCTTTACTCCTCCTTATCTAATTGGACATAAAATCCTACTTTACCTGGAAAAATGCTTCTTCTCTACCCACAGTGGCATTGCCTTAGAAAAGGCCACATCAGCAATTTTTTTTTTTTTTTTTGGCAAAGGAGTTTCACTCTTGTTGCACAGGCTGGAGTGCAGTGGTGCAATATAAATTCGCTGCAACCTCTGCCTCCTGGGTTTCACGCGCGCCCGTATTAAGAGACCACCAAACAGGCTTTGTGCGAGCAATAAAGCTTTTAATCACCTGGGTGCAGGTGGGCTGAGTCTGAAAAGAGAGTCAGTGAAGGGAGATAGGGGTGGGGCCGTTTTATAGGATTTGGGTAGGTAAAGGAAAATTACAGTCAAAGGGGGGTTGTACTCTGGTGGGCAGGAGTGGGGGTTGCAAGGTGCTCAGTAGGGGAGTTTTTGAGCCAGGATGAGCCAGGAAAAGGACTTTTACAAGGTAGTGTCATCACTTAAGGCAAAGACCGGCCATTTTCACTTCTTTTGTGGTGGAATGTCATCAGTTAAGGCGGGGCAGGGCATTTTCACTTCTTTTGTGATTCTTCAGTTACTTCAGGCCATCTGGGCGTATATGTGCAAGTCCCCAGGGATGAGATGGCTTAGCTTGGGCTCAGAGACCTGACATTCCTGCCTTCTTATATTAATAAGAAAAATAAAACAAAATAGTGTTGAAGTGTTGGGGCGGCGAAAATTTTTGGGGGTGGTATGGAGAGAGAGAATGGGCGATGTTTCTCAGGGCTGCTTCAAGCGGGATTAGGGGCGGCGTGGGAACCTAGAGTGGGAGAGATTAAGCTGAAGGAAGATTTTGTGGTAAGGGGTGATATTGTGGGACTGTTAGAAGAAACATTCGTCATTTAGAATTATTGGTGATGGCCTGGATACAGTTTTGTATGAATTGAAAAACTAAACGGAATAAGAGAAGGAGAAAAACAGGTATTAAAGGTCTAAGAATTGGGAGGGCCTAGGACATCTGATTAGAGAGTGCCTAAGGAGATTCAGCATAGTCCTGCCAGCAAAGATTATTTATTTCCTTTAAGAGTTAAGAGTGGCAGTTTGGGGATAGCACCAATATCAGCTGTGATGGCTTGGAGAAACAGTGTAAACCGGCAGTGTAAACAAAAGCAGGGCATGTATGAGTAGTTAAGAACGGTGAATAGGAGTATGACTAGACAGAAGACAGTAGGGATGACAAGTTTTTTGGAGCACAGTCCAAGTTGGTCTGGTGTCTGGAATGAGACTGGGGCCTAATAAAAAGGAGCATCTATACAGGAGCTCAAATGGGCTGTACCCTGTAGCATTCCAAGGACAGGCCTGAATTCTGAGAAGGGAAAGTGGTAAAAGTATTGTCTAGTCCCTTTTAAGTTGGTGGCTGAGCTTGGTGAGGTGTATTTTTAAAAGACTATTAGTCTGTTCTACTTTTCCTGAAGATGGAGGACCATAAGGGATATAAAGGTTTCACTGGATACTAAGAGCCTGAAAAAACGCTTGGCTGATTTGACTAATAAAGGCCGGTCTACTATCGGACTGTACAGAGTTGGGAAGGCCAAACCGAGGAATTATGTCTGACAGAAGGGAAGAAATGACAGCGGTGGCCTTCTCAGACCCTGTAGGAAAGGCCTCTACCTATCCAGTGAAAGTGCCTACCTAGACTAGGAGGTCTTTTAGTTTTCTGACTCGGGCCATGTGAGTAAAGTCAATTTGCCAGTCTTGGGCAGGAGCAAATCCTCTAGCTTGATGTGTAGGAAAGGGAGGAGGCCTGAACAATCCCTGAGTGGTAGTAGAATAGCAAATGGAACACTGAGAAGTGATTTCATTGAGGATAGATTTCCAGGATGGAAAGGAAATGAGAGGTTCTAAGAGACAGGCTAGCGGCTTGTAACCTACATGGAAGAGGTTATGAAATGACGACAGAATAGAATGGGCCTGTGAGGCTGGAAGGAGATATTTTCCTTGGTCTAAGAACCATTTGCCTTTCGTGGGAAGAGATTGATAGTTGGAAGTTTCAGCGGGGGAGTAGGTGGGAGTGACTGATGTGAAGAGACAAACTGGCCATGAAGGACAGAAGGTGGAAAGCTAGCTGCTTGTCTAGCCACCTTATCAGCATAAGCGTTGCCTAGAGCAATGGGATCTGATGCCTTTTGATGGCATTTGCAGTGAATAACTCCAGCTTCCTTTGGAAGTAAAGTGGCCTTGAGCAGAGTTTTTATTAAAGAGGCATTAACGATGGAGGACCCTTGCATAGTGAGGAAACCTCTTTCAGCCTATATAACAGCATGGTGGTGCAGAATATGAAAGGCATATTTAGAGTCAGTATAAATATTGACGCGTAGTCCCTTTGCAAGAGTGAGGGCCTGAGTTAAGGCAACTAGTTCGGCTTGCTGAGAGGTAGTGGAGGGGGGCAGGGCGGTAGCCTCAATAGCAGATGTGGAAGATACTATTGCATAGCCTGCCTTTGCTGGTGAGTGGCGATTAGGCCTGGTGGAACTGCCATCAATAAACCAAGTGTGATCAGGGTGAGAAACAGGGAAGAAGGAAATGTGGGGAAATGGGGTGAACGTCAGGTAGATCAGAGAGATGCAGTCATGAGGGTCAGGTGTGGTATCCGGAATAACGTGGGAGGCTAGATTGAAGTTCATGCCAGGAACAATGGTAATTGTGGGAGACTCAACAAACAGTGAGTACAGCTGAAGGAGCTGGGGAGCAGAAAGTATATGCGTCAGGTGTGAGGAAGAAAATAGATTTTGGAAGTTATGAGAACTGTAGAGAGTGAGTTGAGCACAGTTTGTGATTTTGAGGGCCTCTAAAAGTATTAAAGCAGTGGCAGCCACTGCAAGTAGACATGAGGGCTAGGCTAAAACAGTAAGGTCAAGTTGTTTGGGCAGAAAGGCTACAGGGTGCGGTCCTGGCTCTTGTGTAAGAATTCTGACGGCAATAACCATGCCTAGGAAGGAAAGGAGTTGTTGTTTTGTAGAAGGGACTGGGGTTTGAGAGATTAGCTGGACACAATCAGCAGGGAGAGCACATGTGTTTTTATGAGAATTATGCTGAGATAGGTAACGGATGAGGAAGAAATTTGGGCTTGACTGAAGTAATGGGGGCTGTCTGTGAAAACTTGCGGCAGTACAGCCCAGGTAATTTGCTGAGCCTGATGGGTGTCAGGGTCAGTCCAAGTGAAAGCGAGGGTGCAAATGGGATGAGGATGAAGGGTGCAAAGGAATAGTAAAGAAAGCATGTTTGAGATCTAGAACAGAATAATGGATTGTGGAGGGAGGTATTGAGGATAGGAGAGTATATGGGTTTGGCACCAAGGGGTGGATAGGCAAAACAATTTGGTTGATAAGGCACAGATCTTCAACTAACCTGTAAGCCTTGTCTGGTTTCAGGACAGGTGAAATGGGGAGATTGTAAGGGGAGTTTATAGGTTTTAGAAGCCCATGCTGTAGCAGGCGAGTGATAACAGGCTTTAATCCTTTTAAATCGTATGCTGGGATGGGATATTGGTGTTGAGTGGGGTAAGGGTGATTAGTTTTTAATGGGATGGTAATGGGCATGTGATCAGTTGCCAGGGAAGGAGTAGAGATGTCCCATACTTGTGGGTTAAGGTGGGGGGATACGAGAGGAAGACACAAAGGAGGCTTTGGGTTGGGGAGAAGGGTGGCAATGAGATGCAGCTGTAGTCCAGGAATAGTCAGGGAAGCAGATAATTTAGTTAAAATGTCTTGGCCTAATAAGGGAAGTAGGCAGGTGGGGATAATTAAAAAAGAGTGCATAAAAGAATGTTTTCTAAATTGGCACAAGAGTTGGGGAGTTTTAAGAGGTTTAGAAGCCTGGCTGTCAATACCCACAACAGTTATGGAGGCAAGAGAAACAGGCCCTTGAAAAGAAGGTAATGTGGAGTGGGTAGCCTCCGTATTGACTAAGAAGGGGAAGGACTTACCCTCCACTGTGAGAGTTATCTAGAGCATCTGTGATGGTCCTGTAGGCTTCTGAGGCAATCGGGCAGTGTCAGTCTTCAGCTGCTAAGCCGAGAAGATCTGGGAAGGAGTCAGTCAGAGAGCCTTGGGCCAGAGTTCCAGGGGCTCTGGAAGTGGCTGCCGGGTGAGTTGAACAGTCCGATTTTCAGTGGGGTCCCACACAGATGGGACATGGCTTAGGAGGAATCCCGGGCTGTGGGCATTCCTTGGCCCAGTGGCCAGATTTCTGGCACTTGTAGCAAGCTCCTGGGGGAGGAGGCTCTGGCAGCTGCGGTTCAGGTGTTTGGAGTTCTTGTGTTCTGGAGATGTGGCTGGGGTGTGTCTCACAGTGGAGGCAAGGAATTGCAACTCAGAAATACATTGCTACTTGGCTGCCTCTACTCTATTATTGTACACCTTGACGGTGAGGTTAATTAAGTCCCGTTGTGGGGTTTGAGGGCCAGAATTTAATTTTTGGAGCTTTATTTCATGTCAGGAGCAGATTGGGTAATAAAATAAAATGCATATTGAGAATAAGATGGCCTTCTGACCTTTCAGGGTCTAGGGCTGTAAAGCGTCTCAGGGTTGCTGCCAAAAGAGCCATGAACTGGGCTGGGTTTTTATATTTGATGAGAAAGAGCCTAAACGCCAGCTGATTTTGGGAGAGGTCAGATAAAGAAAAAGGAGCATTAACCTTGACTATGCCTTTAGCTCCAGCCACCTTTTTAGGAGGAAATTGCTGGACAGGTGGGGGAAGGCTAGTCGTGGAATGAAACTGTAAGCTGGACTGGATGTGAGGAGGGGAGGTGATAAAAGGATTATAGGGTGGGGGAGCAGAGGCTGAGGAAGAATTGGGACCTGGCTCGGCCTGGCGAGGAGGGGAGAGGTCAGATGGGTCTGTAGAAAAGGAAGATTAGAAAGACTTAGCGATGCTTGAGGTTGGGACTGAGGGGACAGGCGGGAGGGAAAGAAGGAGGATCTGGGACAAGTCGCACTGGGAAGAGAGACTAGAGAGGGAACAATGTATAAAAGAATGCTTGGACATCACGCACCTCAGACTGTTTGCCCATTTTATGACAAGAATTATTTAGATCTTGTAGGATGGAAAAATTGAAAGTGCCGTTTTCTGGCTATTTGGAACCACTGTCGAGTTTATATTGGGGTCAAGCGGCATTGCAGAAGAAGATAAGGCATCTAGGTTTTAGGTCAGGTGTGATCTGGAGAGGTTTTAAGTTCTTGAGAACACAGGCTAAGGGAGAAGAAGGAGGAATGGAGGGTGGAGAAGATAAGGCATCTATGTTTTAGGTCAGGTGTGAGTTGAAGAAGTTTTAAGTTCTTGAGAACACAGGCTAAGGGAGAAGAAGGAGGAATGGAGGGTGGAAGGTTGCCCATAGTGAAGGAGGCAAGCCCAGAGAAAAGAGAGAGTAGAGACATGGAGGGAAGGGGTTTGGGGGTTCTTAGCTTCCAGGAAAGCGGGAAAGGAGTCGGGGCATGGAAATAAGGGGTTGGGGCACAGAGATAAGAGGTCAAGGCGTGGAAATAAGGGATTGGGGCACAAGAGATAAGAGGTCAGGGTGCGGAAAGAAGGGATTGGGGCACAGAGATAAGAGGTCGGGACACGGAAATAAGGGATTGGGGGTTCTTGCCCCCTAGAAAAGTGGGACTTGCTGCTCAGGGTCAAGGAGAAGGGCTTGAGGGGTTCTTGCCCCTGCCCCAGAAAAGCGGAGAAGGGGTAGAGACACAGAAGGGGTTGGGGTACTTGCCCCTCCCCCAGAAAAGCAGGACTTGCAGCTAAGGGTGAAGGACCAAGGCAGGCATCCCTGTGTGGTCTGACACCTCTGAAACCTCAGTGAATAATCAGAGAGGCATCCCTGCAATGATTAAACACCAAGTGAAGGCTGCCTTCCCAGTCCGTGACTGGCACCGGAGTTTTGGGTCCGTGGATAAAACGTGTCTCCTTTGTCTCTACCAGAAAATGAAAGGAATTGAAATTAAGAGAAGGGAGAGATTGAAGTGTGGTGCCAAGATTGAAAGGAGAAAGAGGTTGAGGGATAGTGAGGGAGGTTGGAGAAGAGAGTAAAAAGAGGCCACTTACCCGATTTAAAATTGGTGAGATGTTACTTGGGCTGGTGGGTCTGAGGACCCGAGGTCGTAGGTGGATCTTTTTCACAGAGCAAAGAGCAGGAGGACAGGGGATTGATCTCCTAAGGGATGTCCCCTGATCTGAGTCATGACACCAAATTTCACGTGCGTCCGTGTTAAGAGACCACCAAACAGGCTTTGTGTGAGCAATAAAGCTTTTAATCACCTGAGTGCAGGCAGGCTGAGTCTGAAAAGAGAGTCAGTGAAGGGAGATAGGAGTGGGGCTGTTTTATAGGATTTGGGTAGGTAAAGGAAAATTACAGTCAAAGGGGGGTTGTTCTCTGGTGGGCAGGAGTGGGGGTCGCAAGATGCTCAGTAGGAGAGCTTTTTGAGCCAGGATGAGCCAGGAAAAGGACTTTTACAAGGTAATGTCATCACTTAAGGCAAGGACCGGCCATTTTCACTTCTTTTGTGGTGGAATGTCATCAGTTAAGGCAGGGCAGGGCATTTTCACTTCTTTTGTGATTCTTCAGTTACTTCAGGCCATCTGGGCGTATATGTGCAAGTCCCCAGGGATGAGATGGCTTAGCTTGGGCTCAGAGGCCTGACACCAGGATCAAGCAATTCTCCTGCCTCAGCCTCCTGAGTAGCTGGGATTACAGGTGCCCGCCACCACATCTGGCTAATTTTGTAGTTTTTAGTAGAGATGGGGTTTCACCATGTTGGCCAGGCTGGTCACGAACTCCTGACCTCATGTGATCCGCCCTCCTCAGCCTCCCAAAGTGCTGGGATTACAGGCATGAGCCACCATGATGGGCCTCATGTCAGCTTTTAACTGGATTATTACAAATTTCCTAACTAGTTCCTCTCCCGATATTCTCTTCCTCTTGCAAATTACTCTCCCAAATGCTGTTCAGGTTGTCATCCTGAAGAAAAATTGGATCATATCACTCTGGCTGCCAGCCATTCTAAAAGAGAAAAGCCCCAACTTTTTAAACCTAGTCTATGAAGTCTTTTACAAATTGGCCCATATCCCCAGGCCTTTGCTGTCTTTTTCTCTCACTTTAAATTCTAACTGCATAAACTTTCTCTTGTTCCTTGAATATGCTGCACCCTTTATTCTTAGTGACTTTGCATTACTATTCCTTATCTCTGGAATGTTCTTTCCTACCTATTTGCCTACTGAGATGTAAAGATCCTGCTTTAGGAAGTCTTTTCAGACAGCTTCAGGCAGAATCAGTTTCTCCCAGGCCTTAGGCAAAATTCCCTCTTCCTATCTCTATTAGCATTTTATATTATTTCGGCTCATTTACCTACCTACTCCTTAACTTGACTTTGTAAACTCCTGGAGGCCAAGGCCTTTGTATTAGTTCTCTTCCTAGCCTCCACGTAACATTATAAATATTGGCTGAATGAAAGAAAGAATGTGTTTTAAAGAATTCCGTTATCATTTGGTTTCCAAAATGCTAAAAATGGCATTATCAATGTATATTAGATGGAGCTACCGTATAATTGTGGGTCTTGAATTACACTTTACATTTATTTCTGACTACCTGATGTTATATTAGAGAAAATGATTTTACCTTTCAAATTATGTTGCTTTCCATTGACAGAAATCTTGAAATTAAAGATTTGTTTTCAGAGGAGGCAAAAATAAATCTATGAATTGAGTTGAAAATTATGATTAGGGCTAGGTGTCAGCCAGATTTCAACGAGCAACAGGTTTTTTTTACTTGAATTCTGAATTTTGTCCATGGAACTGAGAGTACAAATGCCTGTTGTCAAGGAACTCACATGCTGTTTAGCTAATACAACTGGGGCACTATTCTTGCTTTGATTTGAAGGTTCCATCAGCAGTTTGCTTTTGGGTGCTTTGATAAAGTCATACTGTTTCTTGTGATATTGGAGACAGCCAATAATTTTGTGCATGGTGGGTGACCACTGCCTTCTTTAGGTAATCCTGTGTTAGTGAGGTCAAGGTCTGGATATTAACATCAATTGCCAGGTCTGACCCTTTTCCCTCTCTGGGACCATTTGTAGTTGGAGTCCCAGAAGGGGAAGGCCCTTTTTTTCTTCTCATTCTTCATTTTTTACTTACATGACATTATCCGCTTTTGTAGGTCCAGTTCCTAGCATATTTAATATGGTTAATGGCCCTCAAATTATACCTCTAGCCTGATAATTTCTTCTAAACTCCAAATATCCATTTAGCTATATTTATATCTATATTATATCTGTATCTCCATTGCCCACTGAACTTGACTTTCCTCATAAACTCTGCTTGTCCCCTCTCATTCCCAACAGAAATGGCATCACAATGGCATCACTTGAAATTTGCAAGTCACCTTTGTTTTGATTGTTTCCCTATGATTTCCTCTTCCCTTGCAACATATCAATTCAATCACATGCTCCTTTGTGTTTTACCAGTATATAAGTCTTCAATCAGTCTATTTCTCTCCATCTCCAGTATCCACCCCAGTCTAGCAGTGAGCAGCCTCCTTTCCCTGGACCAATCCATTAGACATTTGCCTAGCTTTGCATCCACTCAGGCCTGCCTCCAATGTGATCCCCCAACGGTAGCAGAGTAGTGTCTTTAAAAATAAAAATGTGATCATACATCTCTTTGTTAAAAAAATTATACAAATATGTATGTATACATGTATGAGTGTGTGTGTGTGTGTGTGTACGCGTGTGTGCATGTGTATACATCAACTTTTATATAGTGCTCATGATACTCAGGTACTCAGTTTTTTGTCTGTTCTCACTGATTCAATTCTTGGAACCTTTTGCTGCAAGTACTGTTATTATCCCCATTTTACATATAAGGACACTGAAGAAAAGACAAGGGAAGCGCTTTGCTCCATGTCCTACTGTTAATATGTAGTGACAGACACATGAATCTGGGCAGTCTGGCTCCAGAGTCTGTTCTTTCTTTAAAAACAATTCAGTGGCTTTTGTTTATCCCTAAGAAAAGGTGCAAAATTAGCAACATGTTCCCTGAAGCACTTCATCTGTCCCCTGATTAGTTAGTTCTTCAGCCTTTTTAAGTGACACTCTTCCCATTCTCTCATTTCCAGTTTCACTGACTTTGTTTCAGATTCTGGAATGTGCCATTCTGCGTCGTAGCACAGGGCCTTTGCTACTGTCACCTCTCTGCCTGAAGTGTGCTCAGTCCTTCTACCTCATCTCCCAGAGCAGGGCTTCCTGTATCTCCCCAGAACCCACGCAGCTCTTTCAAACCAGCTGTCGACTTCACACTTGCCTGAGCCACGCTTATTTTCTTGCCTATGCTGCACATAAGCGTCGGGAAGGCTGGGACCTTCTCTCTCATATTTCTTGCCTGCTGAAATTTCCAACATTTAGTACACATACCTGTCAAAAAATAGCTTGTCAAAAAATAAACAATTCATTATTTATTCCTTTATTCACAGAAATTTATTGAGTGCTTACCATGTGCAAGGCAATATATTATGTACTAGAGGGCTTAATGGAATAAGACAGGTTTCTTTACTCTCCTGAGTTTTATATTATTTCTTTAAGATGAAAGGAAAGAAGTGTAATGGTTTAGAAATGTCTTTTTTTTCTTACTCATCCTAGTTTCATGGCTGATGGCTGAGACCTCTATAAAAAAAGATTCAGTAATAAGAGAAAAGAATACAAATTTATTTAATATAAGGTTTATTTTATTTATTTATTTATTTTTGAGATAGAATTTCACTCTTGTTGCCCAGGCTAGAGGGCAGTGGTGCAATCTCGGCTCACTGCAAACTCTGCCTCCTGGATTCAAGTGATTCTCCTGTCTCAGCCTCCCGAGTAGCTGGGATTACAGGGCCTGCCACCACACCTGGCTAATTTTTGTATTTTTAGTAGAGATGGGGTTTCATCATATTGGTCAGGCTGGTCTCGAACTCCTGACCTCAGGTGATCCGCCCGCCTTGGCCTCCCAAAGTGCTAGATTACAGGCGTAAGCCACCGCACCCGGCCTATTTAATGTAAGTTTTATGTGACACAGGCACCATCTTCATGAAGGAATGAAATCCTGAAGACATGGGTAAACCCTCTATTTTTAATGCTAGGTTTGATTTTTTAAAAGTAGGTAGTCATGTAGAAAAATGATTGGATAATAAAGTATGAGCTAATATAAATAAACTGGGGGAAAACTTAGCAAGCCCCTTTTGTTCAGAATCTTCCCTTCATTCTTGTGTCTTCAGAAAGAAGGATGTTCTTTACTTGGGCTAGGAAGGATCTTTCTCAAATTAGGTTCTTAAGACCCACTTCAGGGGAGAATGGTGGAGGAAGGTAACCTTCCTGCTTCTGTGCTTTTTTCGGATGCCAACATCCCATATCTTGGGGTAGCATGTCTTGAACACTATCAGAAGAAAGGATTGAAGACAGAGGAGAGAGAGAGAGAGAGAAAGTAAAAGACATAAAGTACCATGAAAACAGAAAAAATTTATAAATGGTGAGAAAATGCTCAGACTCAGAAATACCTAATAGATTTAGTTTTTAGTAAATGCATGATGGATGTAGTTTTTAGTTTACAAATGAGAATACTTCTATTAGGTATATATTATATATATATAAGTATGTATATGTTATATATAAGTATGTATATATTATATATATATGTATGTGTGTGTGTGTGTATATATATATATATATATTTTTTTTTTTTTTTTTTTTTTTTGAGACGGAGTCTTTTTGAGACTACTGTGTCACCCAGCCTGGAGTACAGTGGCGTGATCTTGACTCACTGCAACCTCTACCTCCCGGGTTCAAGCAATTCTCCCTGCCTCAGCCTCCCGAGTAGCTGGGATTACAGGTGCCTGCCACCATGCCTGCTTAATTTTTGTATTGTTTAGTAGAGGCGGAGTTTCACTATGTTGGCCAGGCTGGTCTTGAACTCCTGACTTCAGGTGATCCACCTGCCTTGGCCTCCCAAAGTGCTGGGATTACAGGCATGAACCACTACGCCCGGCCAGTATATTTGTTTCATTTCAAATTAATTTAGATGAAGTGAAAATTTGAGTTCCTTGTTCTAAGCCCAGAATTATCTCTCTGGCTCTTTTCAGATAAACTCATACTGGGATTCCTATTATTTCCTAAAATTTACCACAGACAAAATCAAACTCATCTCCTTTTCTTTTAATTGAATGCTTCTTTAAGATTCCCCATTTTCATTAAAAGCATCTACACTACTCTGCTTTATCCTTGATTCCTCCTATCATCCTCACTTCCAACTAGAGAGCATGTTTATTAGTTCTTCTGCTAAGCAATCTTGTGTTCTATCACAGTATTTCTTAACTCTATGACAATTCTACAAACTAAGACTTTATCTTTATTTCCATGAAGGTAAGAAAAGTGTAACTGGTCCAAGGTCACATAGCCATTATATGACAGCCAGTAGCTGAATCAAATTCTACTTGAGAGTAAAGTTTACGTTGTTTTGTAACATGATGGCTTCCTAACTTCCGAAAGATCCCCAGGAACCATTTCAGCCCTCAGTGATCTCTAACTTCTCCAAATTTTATAGCACTTACTATCTGTGGAACTCATACATTCAAGCATATAATTCATCCCGATGTATTTAGCTACATTATGTGAATGCCTTATATACCAAACAAAATGGAAAATTCCTGAAAGGCAGAGATTATATCTTGTATTTTTATTTTGTTTCATAGCCTATAAATAGAAATGTACATAGAGTTGCCTCTCAAATTCTAATTCCAACTTAGAATCTTTGATTTTATATCTACCTGGAAGGGCCATCTAGTCAATTGGGATTGTCTCTCCTGCCATGTAAGGTATTATAGATGATTTCCATTTTACAACTAGGTACATGGAGACTTGAAAAACTATATGACTTGTCTAGAATCTCCCTGGTAGGAGACCAGAAATCAAGTTTTCAGATTTTGGGGGCAAAAAAATGAAGTGAAAACTGATAAAGCTTTAAAAAATACATTCTAAAGAAAAGGATAAAAATGTTTGGCAGAGTTGGCCAGGCATGGTGGCTCACGCCTGTAATCCCAGCACTTTGGGAGGCTGAGGTGGGCAGATCATGAGGTCTGAAGATCGAGACCATCCTGGCTAACATGGTGAAACCCCGTCTCTACTAAAAATACAAAAAATTAGCCGGGCGTGGTGGCGGGCGCCTGTAGTCCCAGTTACTCAGTAGGCTGAGGCAGGAGAATGGCGTGAACCCAGGAGGCGGAGTTTGCAGTGAGCTGAGATCGCGCCACTGCACTCCAGCCTGGGCGACAGAGCCAGACTCCATCTCAAAAAAAAAAAAAAAGGAAAAAAAAAGTTTGGCAGAGTAATTTTTTTTTCCTAATAATTCTGCTCTCACATATTTCAAATAAGGACAAGTTATATCACTTTACTCATAGAAAGTAAGTTCTGTCACTGAAGTCTACAATGTTTCCCAGATTTGTGAATTAACAAGCCCGATGAGCTGCATCTGTTTTCAGATGTAGAGAACATATGAAGAGCGAATCGCAAAATACTTCATAAATGCCTGCAAGTGTCCTTAAAGAAAATGCTGATAAGTAAAGGATGGGCCCAAGCCAGGTGCTTGAGAACAGAAGACAGGGGCTGAGTCATTCACATGAAAGGGAAGCAAGCTTCAGCCTGGGGCTGCCAGATCATAAGGGGGGAAAAGGAGAGACAAAAGAAAATCAGAGTAGTAAGAAAGAAAAAAACAAAATGTGAGATAGACCACAAGGAAAAAAATATATATATATAAAAATTGGTCCAAGGTTACATAGCCATTATATGACAAAGCCAGTATCTAAATCAAGTTCTACTTGTCAATTGACAAGTATTATCAAATACAAGTCAATCAATATTGTATATATTTTATATATAAATATATATTAATATATTTATATTTTAAAAGTTTAGTTATATATTTATATTTATATTATAAATATATTTTATATATTTAAACATATATATTTATAAAATATATGTAGATATACATCTATATATATAAAGCAAAAATAAAAATAAAACAAGAGAAACAAGAGAAAGGAAGAAGCCTAGAGCTCACCACAACAAACAAGAGACAGAAGAGGAAATGGTAACAATTTTTAAAGTTCCCAAAAGAAAACATACCTACTTTTAATCAGATCTTCTCCATTTTCCCTTTCAGCAATGTTCCATTTGGCTGGGCAGCTTCCTAACTGATTGCATATGCCACCTCCTCTGTAACTTTCCTTAAATTATCCCTGGTTTGAATATATTTTGGAAACTTTCAGTAAATGAAAACATTTTTTTCCTCTTTTTGAGTAATTTCTCCTATAACCTTAAAATTTAAGGATTTTAAAAACTGCTTTTAATTGCAAATAAATAGCTTATAACTTATATTGTGTATAAATATTTGATAGTTATTACATTTATTCAATAGAGGTTGTTGACCGCTTATTATGTATGAGACTTGTTTTCAGTGCTGTGTTCCTGCCTGCTCTCAGTCAAGTGGCTAATAAACACCTTTACACAAACTATCAAGTAGCATTCACTGTAAAAAAAAAAAGTAAGTAAACTATTTTACAAATAGTTTCAGACCTACAGAAAAGTTGAAAACAGTACCTGAACAAAGAGTTCCTGTATATCCTTCATTCAGTTTCCCCTGTTGTTAACCTTTTACATTACTATGGTACATTTATTACTACTAAGGAATCAAATATGTGTTCATTACTGTTAACTAAACTCCATACTTGATTGCATTTCATGAGTTTTTTCCTAATGTCTGTTTTTCTGCTTCAGGATACCACATTACATTTAATCATGTCTCCTCAGGCTCCTATTGGCTCTGATAGTTGCTCAGACTTTCTTTGTTTGTAATGACTTTGACTTTTTTTTTTTTTGAGACGGAGTCTTGCTCCTGTCGCCCATGCTGGAGTACAGTGGTGCAATCTCAGCTCACTGCAACTTCCGCCTCCTGGGATCAAGTGATTCTCCTGCTTCAGCAGCCTGAGTAGCTGGGACTACAGGTGCACCCCACCATGCCCAACTAATTTTTGTATTTTTAGTAGAAACAGGGTTTCACCATGTTGGCCAGGCTGGTCTTGAACTCCTGACCTCAAGTGATCAGCCTGCCTCAGCCTCCCAAAGTGCTGGGATTACAGGAGTGAGCCACTGTGCCTGACATTTTTTAGGAGTATTGGGGAGGTGTTTATAGAATGTCCTTCAATGCGTATTTGTCCAGTGTTTCATCAGAGTCGAACTGAGGTTACAGAGTTCTGAAGATAATGTCAGGGAAGTGAAGTGCCCTTCTCACAACAGTATATCACAGGGTGTTATGAGCTAGATGTTTGTGTCCCCTCAAAATTCATATTGAAATCCTAATAGAATAACCAATGTGACAGAATTAGGAGGTGGGGTGGTTGGGAGGGGATTAGCTCATGAGGGTGGAGCCCTCATGAATGGGATTAGTGCCCTTATAAAAGAGGCTCCAGAGAGCTGTTTAGCCCTTTTTCTGCCATTGTGCAGTCTGCAGTCTGGAAGAGAATCCTCAGCAGAACCTGACTGTGCCAGCACCATGATTTCAGACTTTCAGCCTCCAGAATTGTGAGAAGTAAATGTTTGTTTTTTAAGCCACCTAGTCTATGGTGATTTGTTATAGCAGCCCAAACTAAGACAGAGGATATGGCATCAAACTGCTGAATCACTGGTGATGTTAATCTTGATTAGTTGGTGAAGGTAATGTTTGTCAGTGTTCTCCACTGTAAAGTCACTGTTTTTCCCTTTCCATATTCTATTTACTAAATGATTCAGTGAGTCCATCCCATACTCAAGAGGGTGGGATGAGGAGTAATGAAGCTCCATCTCTGGGAGGAGGGCATATCTACATATATTATTTGGAATTCTTTTGTAAGGAAGATGTGTCTCTTCCATTTATTGATTTAATCAGCTATTTGTAGAATTGATATGGGTTTATTTATATTTTGGGTTAGACATCCAATATTATGTTATTGTCACTCCAATTGTTACACCTTTGGAGATTAGGGGCTCTTCCAAGTTGGCTCTTGTGTTCTTTAACATGTCCTCATCCTCTTATTTTTTGAGCAGTTCCTTACTTTTGGGTACCACACAATGCCCCAGGCTTACCATGTTTATTTCCTACCATAGTCCTATAACTTTTCCAATGAGCCCTGGTTCATTTTATTGGAGAATCGTATTAGAAATTGAGTGAATTGGCCAGGTGAGGTGGCTCATGCCTGTAATCCCAGCACTTTGGGAGGCTGAGGTGGGTGGATCACCTGAGGTCAGGAGTTCAAGACCAGCCTGGCCAACATGGCAAAACACCTTCTCTACTGAAAATACAAAAAATTAGCCAGGCGTGGTGGTGGATTCCTGTAATCCCAGCAATTTAGGAGGCTGAGGCAGGGAGAATTGCTTGAACCCGGGAGGCAGAGGTTGCAGTGAGCCAAGATCGCACCATTGCACTCCAGCCTGGGCAACAAGAGCAAAACTCCATCTCAAAAAAAAAAAAAAAAAAGAGTGAATTAGTCTTCACTATAACATTGTAAAGTTTCTGGTTTTGCCTTTGAAAGATTTCTTCCCCTAAGGGCCAAACTGTCTTGCACAGAAAGGAATATCTTTTTCTACTGTAAAATGCTCTTAAGACAGCTAAAGGAATTTTTAAAAGAGTAGTCAGAAAACTAACGGGTGTTTGGTTAGACATTCAATGGGAACAGTATTTATTATCTGAACAATTTAGAAAGATTAACGGGAAAATCATTATTAAAATATTCTTATCAACAAAGCAACTCTTGAAAACTCAAACCAAAGCTGTGTCTCCCAAATTAGTAAAACCTCAACCATCACTGAGCTTCTGAATCTCTTTTTTTTTTTTTTTTTTTGAGGCGGAGTTTCACTCTTGTTGCCCAGGCTAGAGTGCAATGGCACAATCTTGGCTCACCACAACCTCTGCCTCCCGGGTCCAAGAGATTCTCCTGCCTCAGCCTCCTGAGTAGCTGGGATTACAAGCATGTGCCACCATGACTGGCTAATTTTGTATTTTTAGCAGAGATGGGGTCTCTCCATGTTGGTCTGGCTGGTCTCAAACTCCTGACCTCAGGTGATCCACCTGCCTTGGCCTCCCACAGTGGTGGGATTACAGGCGTGAACCACCATGCCCAGCCACTTCTGAATCTTTTAATGGAATAAAGAACAATGCAAATGTGGAAAACAGGTATCTATTAGATGCTTTTCATTCATAAGTAATCTTTATTAAATTAATATTTAAAATTTTTGAATAATAATTATTGCTTCCACTTATTGAGAACTACTCACTCTGCTGACTACATACTTATTTTCTCATTTAATAATGCTCAAGAGATAGGATTTGATATGCACTATATTTATATTCCAAGAAGCCAAGACCATGTGCAAAAACCAAAGCAAAAACAACAAAAACTTTACCTTTCGTCTCATCCTAAATAATTAAAAGCAAAAGGTCAATATTAGATTTTAATCTTGCTCTTTTTTTTTTTAGAATTAGTTATATTTAAGAAACAAAAGGCAGGCAAAAGCTTGAAACAAAATACAACTATGGCACAATGCTTAAAAAGGGTCAAGCCCTACTCTTTCATCTTCTGATGAAAAAGCTGGAGTTCACCAATCTGGCAGCTTTCCCACATCACACTGCTGGTTAATGGCAGAATAAGAGTGGAACTCAAGGCTTTCGGTTCCCAGTTCAATGTACTTCCTCTAATCCAGTTCTCTGAGTCAACGTTTTGAGTCAATACCATATTGGAGAATAACTTGAAACCATCAGAACACAAGTGCAGAGCAAGGGAAGATACAGACCCTAAAAATGCTGTATACAGATTCACTCCACCTTCTCCTGGCTGTGAGAAGAAAGGCCTGTAATATCAATTTATACAGCATTGCCACAGTCAATGTGAGATGACTCTCTTCCTTCTCCCTACTTCCTTCCCTCCCTCCCTCCCTTCCTCCCTTCTTCCCTCCCTCCCTCCGTTCCTTCCTTCCTTCCCTCCTTCTTTTTTCCTTCTTTTTTCTTTTGTTGTCTCCTTTCTTCCTTTTATTTCTTCTCTTTTTTTTTCTTTTCTTCCTCTTTTATTTTTCTTCTTTCCCCCTTTTTTGTCCCTGGGAGCCAGGGACAGAGCAATAAAGAGCAGACTAAATTCTCAAAGAAGGCTGGTAACTATTGCTCTTCTCTGCTAGTTCTGCTGTGTGGGGTGTGTGTGTGTGTGTGTGTGTGTGTGTGTATATGTGAGTGACAGAGAGAGAGAGTGAGAGAGAAACAGAGACAGACAGAGATAGAGCAAACTGAGGTGAAGGGCTAGGTTTTTCGGTTTTTAATATTTAATCCATTATGAATTGGTATTGTTTTAAATACAATACAAATGAATTTTGTTACTAGAAAAATGAAATAACATGAAAAATAAGAGACTAGAAATATAATATTTGATACCTTCTTATTAGATTTAAAAGACATAATTTACCCAGTAAGTTTACTATAAAAATTTCTAAATGCTCTGGGTTTCTGTATTTACTTTATTTCTATATAAACAGTGAAAATCAGTTCCCACATTGGCATCAAGATGCAGGCAATGCTTTGTATTGTGTAGTTCTCAGCAGCAGCACAAACCATATTCAGCTTACACATGGTTTGCCTTCAGATTACAGTCATACCCACACCCCACCCCAAACCAATTAAATTAGAATCTTTAGGAATGGGGTCTAAATCTGGTTGTTGTTTGTTAGTTTGTTTTTATCAAATCTCCAGCTGATTCTAATGTGCCATCTTATAAGGACATGCTGTCATGACAGGAGGTCTGGAAAATGCCCCTTGCAGGCTCCTGATGTAAGTAAGCCCTCCAATGATGCCTCCAATGATTGGAGATGAATTTCGTTTTTTTTGAGACTGAGTCTGTCTCTGTCACCCAGGCTGGAGTATGGTGGCGTGATCTCAGCTCATGGCAACCTCCACCTCCCAGGTTCAAGCGATTCTTGTGCCTCAGCCTCCCAAGTAGCTGGGATTACAGGTGTCCGCCATCACGCCTGGCTAAGTTTTGTATTTTCAGTAGAGGCAGGGTTTCATCATGTTGGCCAAGCTGGTGTCAAACTCCTGACCTCAAGTGATCTGCCTGCTTTGGCCTCCCAGAGTGCTGGGATTACAGGTGTGAGCCACTGCGCCTACCTGGAGATGAATTTTCTTTAGTGAAGCAGGACCTGCGTGCTCCTGCTGTTTCTTAGATTCTCACTAAATCCATGGCCCTTTATTCTAGATAAACTTAACACGTGACAGGAAGTAGATATTAGGGTACTATTTGATTGCTGGGGTGAGTAGAGAGGTAGGGTATAAAAATGATGACCTTTTTAAATACTACTCATTATAGTTGTCAGGATCATTTACTTTTAGGAAATAGCAAACACATTTGAATCCCATTTTATTTAAAGTCAAACCAAAATGATGTCTAATTCCCATAATTAAAAATATTCTTTCGTTCACTCAACAAAAGCAGTAGCATAGGCACTAGAGATGCATTGGGCTGTTAGACGGTGCTGCTACCCTTGCAGGCTTAATGATCACTTTTAATTTTAGAGACAGGAGTGTTAATAACTTTGTTTTTAAGAAGTAATTCAATGTGAATTTGACCGATTAATTTTACTCAGACTCAGAGGGATTAGCAGATGCTAATGAGTCAAGACCATACAAGGATTGACTAAGTCCATTGAAAGACCAGGGTTTAACTTGTCCAGTACTAATCGCCCCTAGGCTTTCCTCCTGCAAAGCTACGTGAAAGCAGCCACAGTTGAGTAATTCAGGTCATGAACCTCGAAGTGGCCAAAAAGGTCACCTGCCTACCACAGCATGTAAGCTGTGATCTCAAGATCACTGATTATGCCAGGGGAGGGGCTGGTGCTACTCCAGCCATGAATGCTGCAGTACAAACCATGCCACTGACCTGCCATATTATATATCTGCAGCCATACAGTTTGGACCCCAGAATATTTCCTTCCCTAATGGTAAGTGCTTGGCTGATGGACCAGGGTTGGAGCTAAGATTTCGTCCATCATGTGGCTATGAGATCCCAGCCCCTGATTGTGCCAGAGGAGGGGCTGGTATTTCCCAGTCACTCAGTTTAAAGGTCTGAGGCTCTTCCTCTGGAGACTAGACTTTTGGGAGTCTCTGTGTACTGCCCTAGGATGTGACAGGTCACAAGAGAAGGGCACGCCTGCTTTTGCTCCTATCTTTGAGAATTTTTTGAAAATATAAATCTTATTCTGACAGCCTTGGCAGTGTGCTACCTGACTATTTGCTAGGTTTCTATGACATCTACCAACAGCAGGAAGCATAATGAGAGTATGCCTTGTGGACTAACTTTGCCAGAGAAACTAAGACCTTAGGAGATGTCAATCTAGGGGGCACTAGGAAAGGTTAGGGAGAATCCCCTTGTATAAGGAGTCCAGGAAAACTCTCCACAGCTAAAATTAGGGCTGTGTAATCTATCCACTTTCTGTTCTATGGAATTAGCAGGTATTACCCAATTCCATAGAAGTATGGCTTGGAGAGTTGCTAGCACATTGTGAGTACTGCCTTCCCTGGCTCATTCTTATGGGGAAAAAAATTATTAAGAAATAACCACATGCCAAAAACTGTAGAAGATAAGCACTAGGGATATGAAGATTAAAATAGAGTCTCTGTTATCAAGTAGCTAAGGCTGGTGAAGGAGACCGCTATGGACTAAACGTTTGTGTTTCCCTGAAATTCATATGCTGAAATCCTAACTCCCGATGTGATGTGATTAGGAGATGGGACCTTTGGGAGGTAATTAGTCATGAAGGTGGGGGATTAGATAAAATCCCTTCAGGAAGGGGATTAGATCTCCAGTAAAAGGAACCCCAGAGACCTCTCTTGTTCTCTTTCCCCAGCATGAGTATAAATGAGACGATGGCAGGCTGAGATCTGAAAAAGGGCCCTCACCAGAGCCTGACCATGCTGGCACCTTGGTCTCAGACTTCCAGCTTCCAGAACTGTGAGAAACAAATTTCTGTTGTTTATAAGCCACCCACTATGGTCTTTATTAGGATGGCCCTGACTAAAAGACCCACAGCTAAAATGCTATAATGCTGTAATGAGTTGTGCATAGAGTGCTCTGGAAGCACAGAGTATGAAATAGCGAACACTATTTGAGAAAAGTCCGGCCAGGTGCAGTGGCTCATGCCTGTAATCCCAGCTCTTTGGGAGGCTGAGGCGGGCGGATCACCTGGGGTCAGGAGTTTGAGACCAGCCTGGCCAACATGGAGAAACCCTGTCTCTACTAAAAATCCAAAAAAATTAGCTGGGCGTGGTGGTGGGTACCTGTAATCCCAGCCACTCAGGAGGCTGAGGCAGGAGAATCGCTTGAACCCAGGAGGTGGAGGTTGTAGTGAGATGAGATCATGCCGTTGTACTCCAGACTGGGTGACAAGAGCAGAGCTCCATCTAAAAAAAAAAAAAAAGAAAAAAAGAAAAGAGAAAAGTCCGAGGGGACTTCACATTCACAGAGGAAATGACATTTGCATGTGCCCAGAAATGTTGGGTTTTAAAAAGAAATCCTACTCTGGCAGTCTTGGTAGTGTGCTATTTGACTGTTTGCTAGGTTTCTATGACATCTACCAACAGCAGGAAGCATAAAGGGGTCATGACTATGGACTAACTTTGCCAGAGAGATCAAGACCTTAGGAGACCAAGGTCTCCTAAGAGAAACCGAGACCTTGTAGAATCCAAGACCTTCTACAACCCATTTGTGGAAACCTCATGCAGGAACCTCCAACCTTCACTCAGTTAAGATACTTCTGTTTCTAGCTGACATATGGAGCTTTTTTTGGAAGATTGGGCTCTACATACATGGTACCCTTGACATTTGCAAAGGAAACATTTTGAGACATCCAGAATCCCTAAATTCACAAAAACTAATTAAGATGTAGAGGCTGAACAGTCAGTCAGGCTTACTCACTGGCTAAGTACTTGCTTCTACACATGAGCCATGTAGCAGCACACATAGATGCATACAAACTCTCAAAGGTTGAAAGTACAAATGCGGTAAGTCTAGCATACTTTACAGACGGATCTTCCTAGGTGTTAGCAGGATCATTCCAGTGCTCCAGAGGGGCAGTGATACTGTGGGCCAGACAGTGAGAGAGTCATGATCTCTGCGAAGATGACCAGGGCAGGGCAGAGGAGCTTGCTGCATCCTTGGTTACTTAGAAGATACAGTACAAGTTACACAAAAGGAGGGTATTGGGGTCAGGCCTCATGTTACAAGACCTAATGGGCCATCATGGGCCAAAATAGATTTATTTCAGCTGGAAAGAATTAATGAATGTGTATCATTTATTGAATGCAGTCATTACGTTCCTGGCACAGTGCTAAGAGCAGCACAAATACATCAACATTCACTTGTCACTAAAAAAGCCCCTGTGAATTAAGCAATGTTACTTCCCTATTTCTGAGATGAGGAAACTGGGCTTGGAGAAGTAAAACAACATACTCAAGGTCATACAAAGTGGGAAGTTATCAAATGGGGTTAAGCCAGGGACATATAGTATCAAAACCCTCTGCTATTGGCTTTTCAACCCTTCTTCCTCTGTTAAAGATAGAGGACTATTGGCAGAGTTTATGCAGAAAGGAGTTGAGTCTTGAGGACTTGTAGTTAGCTGGGAACCTGCTCCTCTTCCAGGGCCTTTGCAAGTCTTACTTGCTGGTGGCCCGGGGAATTCAGGCAGGGGCTCCCATGCCAAACCTTGTCAGGAATCTGGTTTTTGTCTTTCACAGGTTGATGTGGCCCATGACAGGAATTACACGTCAGGGCCAAATATACATTACTAGAAATAGATTACATCAGGAAGCCAGATTTATATAGTTTAAATAGAAGTGAAGAAAACTGGAAGGAAGATACAGCAGTCTAATCTGTGGTTGAATCATGCACCATAATTAAGCCTCCTCATTTCCTACTCTTTCCTTCTGCATTTTGCAAATGTCTCCATCTGTGACTCATCTTTTTTTACAGCAACATCACTCCCTCATATTTCTTTTTCTTGTCTTGCTATTTTCTCCATCAATTCTGTCTCTAACTTTTCTAGGAAGATCCTATTGATTATTAAAATTATCAAAGAATAAGGGGAAAGAGACAATTCTTGAAGAAACATTAGGAATCCATATTATTAAATCAAGTCCCTCAGTAAAGCCAGAAGTTATAATTTGGTAGCTGATGTTAATGAGAACATTATACACATAATTTAGTTTAGCATATTTTATAAGAGCCTAATTTTCAGCTGGAACTTTGCTAGGTGCTGAAAATATCAAAATAAATTAGGCACAACCTTTTTCTTCCCCTAGGAATTAATAGTTTAATGGGTAAGTCCAAGACATAAAAAGATTATTTCAATAAAATGTGGTGTTATGATAGAAGTATATACATGTTATTAAAGGAGCTCCTTATTCAACCCAGGGGCTCCAAGAAAGTTCTTGAATGAAAAGATGAAATCTGAGCTCACTCATTAAAGATGAATTAGTGGGGAGAATGGAGAGGGGTAGGAGAAAGGGTGTTTCAGGTCCAGAGGACCCAGTACATGAGCAAAGGCACAGAGACATGGAACCACCTGGTCTGGTTGAAGAATTTCAAGCAGTGCAATGTTGCTAGAATGCAAAGTTGCAGGTGGTGAGAGGTAGAAGCAAGACCGGGGAAGCAGTCAGGACCACATTATGGGGTGCTTTTATGTCTGTTAGGGAGCATGAACTTCTTTAGGTGATTGAGTGGCCCTGAAGGACTTAAGGAAGAGAATTGACATGATCACATACATGAACATACTAGGTATTTTTGAGTAATCTCTTGGCTGGCAAAAAGAAGGAGAGATTTGAAAGGTGGAAGGCCAGGATCTGGGATGGGATTCCAGAGGAGAAGTGATGGGACCTGCACTGGGCTATCATCATGTGAATGGAGGAGTCATAACCTATCAGGATTTGGTGTAGAAGTTATGGGAGCAATACAAATCTTTCCTGAGGTTCTTGTGAATTGTTGTTTATGAGTAGCAAAGGTTACCATGATAGCGATGCCAAAGCCTGTCTAGGTCTTCCTGTGGTTCATTTTTGCAGACCCAAGTTGAATTCTAGTGCTTTCTTCCTTTGCCTTGGATCCAGGGATTCTACATGCTTTCCTCTCCTTCAGTAACTTCCAGCATTCCCTTGCTCCTTTGGGGGAACTGTGGCATGGGTCTCAGGCTTCTCAGATATCTTCTTGCTTGCTACCAAAAACAAAAACAAAAACAAAAAAAAACACCTTTCCTTCATAGCACTTATGATGATTAGAATTAATTAATAATGCCATCACTGTTTGTTTAATGTCTCCTTCTACTAGTCACTATTATTGGTGGCAAACATCAAACAGCAACTTTGTTAAACTGGAGCATTAAAAGGTATAGGAGAGAGATAGATGAGATTGCCGAGAAATCAAGGAAAGCAACTTTGTTAAACTGGAGCATTAAAAGGTATAGGAGAGAGATAGATGAGATTGCCGAGAAATCAAGGAAGGGAAATTGGCAGAAAGCCCGAGGCTAAGCCGCTGCAAGATAAGCCAGACCACACCAGGGTTCGTGTCTGTTCAGAACCTCACCATTGAGACTGCTGAATTCAGAACTCTTTTAGTACCAGAATTCTTGAAAAGTTTCTATTGCTTCTGAGCTATTGTCATGCACTCTCAAAGCTCAAATTCCTTGAGTAGAGCATGTCTGGTCTTGGGTGCTGGGAGATGGGAAAAGAGTGATTATTTCCCCTTAATTTCCACAGTGGGAAGGTGGGAAGCATGGCTCTCTTCCTCTTCAACTCTTTGGGGCTTCCTGCCAAAAAGTGGAGGGTATTTAAATTCTGAGTTTGTGTCTCTCTATCTCTATATCTTTATCTACATACACTCATGCATATATATTACACACCTGCCATTAATAACAGTGACTAGGCTGGGCACAGTGGCTCATGCCTGTAATCCCAGCACTTTGGGAGGCCAAAGTGAGCAGATGGCTGAAGGCCAGGAGTTTGAGACCATCGTAGCCAACATGCAGAAACCCCGTCTCTACTAAAAATACAAAAATAGCTGGACATGGTGGTGCATGCCTGTAATCCCAGCTACGCGGGGGGCTTGAACCCGGGAGGCGGAGGCTGCAGTGATCTGAGATTGTGCCACTGCACTCCAGCTTGGGTAACACAGTGAGACTGTCTCAAAACAGAAAACAAACAAACAAACAAACAGAAAACCAGTGACTAGTTCCATGAGGGTAGAGAATGTCTCATTTTTGTTCACTGTTGTATCCTCAATGCCAGATGAGTTAACACCAGGCAAGGGCTGATAGTAAGCATTCAGCAAATATTTCTTGAATAAATGGGAGAATCAGTGAATGAATGTACTGTTTTAAAAAAGCATTTTATCTCTAATCACTATAGGATTTTAATAAATCAATATTATTTATAGTTAGAGTTCCTAACCTATAGTTCCTAAGTCCCTTCTGAGATAGTAACTGGAGATGCTCCCACCCTCTGCTTGCTTTATGGAAATTTTAAAGAACCCACTTCTGAACCTCGAATTTTAGCAAAGGTACCATACACCACTTAGTCCATACTTCCCCTTTTCTCTGACTGAAAATGAATCAAAGCAATGCCATCAGTACGCCTAAAGTCAACTGAACTTTTACCTTTCCTTGGATCTCCAGACTTGGCAAGATAGCTCTGGAAGATAGCTCCAGCTCAGGAAGAAGACCCTGCAGCCCATTTCCTTTCAAAAGGCAGAGATGAACATTTTCCCTGGCCGTCTTGAAATGTGAGTTGTCAGTAAGACCTATAGGCGTGGATATCCTACAACTTTAGAGCTATTTGGGATTTGAACCAGTTGTTTTCTCTAATCAGCAACAATATTGAAATTCTAGGAAAATATAATCATGTTTTCAAATAGATGATCTATTTTTGACTTTCTAATTGTTTTAAAGTGTCTGATGGGCCAAGCCATATAACAATGACATATAATTTTTTAAGAACATTACAAACTTAAAAATCATATTATTAAAGACTCACATTGTCATTTGATTTATGTTGCAAGTTAGAAGATTTCATTAACATAAAGTAACCAGTTTAATGCTAATAATCTGTCCAGAAATAACTCTTCTTCCATAGATTTTAGCCTGAAGGATTTTGAACATCTACACACACTTCAAGGATTCTACTGATGTCATCAGTTTCTTGATTAATATTGTCTCACTATGTGGGCTTGCTAGGTTTTTCTACAGAGGCTATATTTCGAAATTCCTTTAATTTTGGTTATTGGTAGTTTCTTGCTTGAACTGGGATTCATATTTCTCCCCGCTGAGAATAAAATTTGTTCTCAGAATAAAGCATATTTGACTCTTTCTAGCTGCCAAAATGTGAAGTCTTGTGGTTAGGTATTTTGGAAAACCGGCAGGTTTTGTTTACATACTGTGGTCTTTCTCCAAATTTATCCCACATCCCACACCCCACAAGTCTAGGACCCCTTCCAGCGTAATTGCTGTGGGACAAGTGCAAGGCAAAGGCTTCCGCAGTCACCAAATCCTTTCCATCTTTGAATCAGACACAGCAAGTACCAGAAGAGCTTCCCCTGCTTAAAAAAAAAAAAAAAGAAAAGAAAAGAAAAGGAAAGAAAATGCTGACCTATAGAAATACCTGAATCTAATTTGCTGTACAAATGGAAACCTTTTCTTTTTAGATTGGATGCAGAAAATGTATTTTCAATGTTTATAATTTAACAATTGCTCAAAGCCTTTCATATGAAAGCAATTTACTCATGTTGGGCCCAATTATCCTAACATGCTTAAAAATTAACCAGTATTTTTCATCTTTAACCTTCGTGCGTTAGTCTCCTTGGATAGGGCCTTTTTACCGACAGTGAATCTGAAATCTAATCACAGAGGTGCTTTATGGATTAAAGTGCTAGAAAATCCTTCTTGTCAGGGAAAGAATATCTTGGAAAGTGACACTGTTTCTGTATATTCTTCTTACAAGGATTAAAACTTTGGGGTTTGAACTAGATTCACCGATTCCATGTAATATTCAACCGGAAGAGATGTTGAATCATGAACCCACACTTATTTTCTGTTACCTTCATTTTGAAAGAAAGCAATGTGGCCCATCTACTGCACATATGTTAGCTAAATCTGGCACCAACAAGCAGTCTAGGGCCATCCACTCTGGCCATTTGTATGGCTTATTCAGTCAATTCACTCGAGAAATATTTATTGAGTGCTTACTCTGTGTCAGGCTCTATGCTAGATGTTGGGGAGAAAGTGATGAAAAAGCAAGATATGTTTCTGTCGAGGAGTTTATAATTCTGAGGGAGATAACATGGGCACAAAGAGTATTATAATTAACAAATGGCTAATACAATATGGCTATAAATACTATGTTGCAAAAAAGAATTCAGTCTTAGGAGGAGCTTGTGGCTGAGATAAAAGGCAGGAAGGAAGGCCTGCAAAAGAAGTGAGAGCTAAGGTGAAGCATGAATGGGTGATGAAGAGGAGATAGGTCAGATGAAGAGGAGTAGGTAGCACGTTTGGGGGAGGAAGTAGTAGCATGTTGGGAAGCCAATAAGTCACGTGTTTGAGGAACCAAACAGGTTTCATTTTGCCAGAAGGGTAAAGTGTAAGGTTGCATGTGATAAAAGATGTTGCTGAGGCTGGGCACGACGGCTCACACCTGTAATCCCAGCACTTTGGGAGGCCGAGGTGGGTGGATCACAAGGTCAGGAGTTTGAGATCAGCCTGGCCAACATGGTGAAACCCCATCTCTACTAAAAATACAAAAATTAGCCATGCGTGGTGGTGGACACCTATAGTCTCAGCTACTCGGGAGGCTGAGGCAGAAGAATCGCTTGGACCCAGAAGGCAGAGGTTGCAGTGAACCGAGATGGCACCACTGCACTCCAGCCTGGGTGACAGAGTGAGACTCTGTCTAAAAAAAAAAAAAAAGAAAAGATGTTGCTGAGAGATCAGCAGAGTCCTATTCACTAGGACCCTGCAAACTCTAAGAGAAAGCTTGGAGATTTTCCTGAAGGGAACTGAGAACCTTGAGAAGATTTTACACAGAGGACCAGCAGGAATTGATTGCATTTTTGGAATGATTATTTTGGCTGTACTGTGGGGACTAAATTGTATGTGGATTGAAGCTGGACCTTGACTGTCATAGAGAAGGACATTGGTTGGTCTGAATGATGGTGATGACCATGGAGATAAAGATAATTTGAACTACTCAAGTGAAAATCACTTGGGTGAATTTGTTGCAGTGACTGACTAGACATGGGAGAGATAGGAGTCAAAGATAAAGCTCAGGTTTAGCTTAGTGATTTTCCTACTGCTGCTGATTTAACACCACTGGCCCAACTTTCATGAATTCTCCCAGGTAATTAGTTTCATGAAACATTGTTGAGTGGGATTTTCTTCATCTCCAGCATTCTTGGGAGTATTCAAAATATCCAACACTTAGATACTATTATATTATGTTAAGCAGTAAATTATCAGAATGACAAAATAAAACACATAAACTATATAAAACAGGAACTAAGAAAATGGCATAAGTGGCCGGGCACTGTGGCTCACCCCTGTAATCCCAGCACTTTGGGAGGCCGAGGTGGGTGAATCATGAGGTCAGGAGTTCAAGACCAGCCTGGCCAACATGGTGAAACCCTGTCTCTACTAAAAATACAAAAATTAGCCGGGCATGGTGGCAGGCGCCTGTAATCCCAGCTACTTGGGAGGCTGAGGCAAGAGAATCGCTTGAACCCGGGAGGCAGCAGAGGTTGCAGCGAGGCAAGATCACATCGCTGCCCTCCAGGCTGGGCAACAGAGTGAGATTCTGTCTCAAAAAAGAAAAGGAAAGAAAGAAAGAAAGAGAGAGAGAGAGAGAAAGAAATAAAGAAAATGGCATAAGCACTGAAAAATTCTGTGACTAATCCTGTGAATACACTTACCTCATTTGCAAATATAGGCTTTCAAGCTAGAAAGCGACAGAGTAGAAGTCTGTGATCAGAATCCATGTTGGTTGCATCACCTCAGGGAGTTCAAATCGTGTAGGACCCTGTGGCACCATCCCTGCCCTGCCTTCCCTGGAAGGGGTAGCACTTCCAGGCCCACTCATAGCCATCTCTGCTCCAATCGGAGCAGCCCAGCTTTTGCTGTTTTATACAATGGGTTTCTATAGAATATTACACTTGACAAAAATAACAAAAAGAAAAAACTCACATGAAAACATTTAAAAATCACCATCCTTTACAACTATCTTCTGAAACTCTGAGAGTTATTAGCCATGGTCAAGCTGTTGCATTTCTCAAGACCCAGTTTCTCTATTGACAAAATAAGATTACAATTTTTCTTTCCTATGTCACAGGATTGTTTAGATGAGCAAATGAGTTTATTTGTGTTAAAGTACATTAAAAAATCAACGTTATTGAGGTATAAGTTGATATAGTTTGGATATTTGTCCCCGCCCAAATCTCATGTTGAATTGTAATCCCCAATGCTGGGTGGAAGTGGGGCCTGCTGGGAGGCATTTGGATCATCTGGGCAGATCCCTCATGGCTTGCTTCTGTCTTCGTGAGAGTGAGTTCTCATGAATTCTGGTCATTTAAAAGTGTGTGGCACTTCCCCCCACCATTCTCTTTCTCTCTCTCTTGCTTTCTCTGAGTTATGTGCCTGCTTCCCCTTTTGCCTTCCACCATGATTGAAAGCCTGCTAGAAGCCAAGCAGATGCCAGCAACCATGCTTCTTGTAAAGCCTGCAGAACTGTGAGCCAATTGCACCTCTTTTCTTTATAAATTACTGTCCCAGGTATTTCTTTATAGCAATGAAAGAATGGCCTAATACAAAGTTATGCCCAGTAAACTGAATCCATTTACAGAACACAATTTGATGAGTTCTGACAAGGTCTGCACCTGTGAAACCATTACCATAATTAAGTTATAGGATATTTTCTTCACTCCAAAAGATTCCTTGTACTCCGTTGCAGTTCATCCTTCCTTCTGCTCCTCTTCCCTTTACCCCCTTGAAATCACCAATCTTCTTTCTATCTGTATAGATTAGTTTACATTTTCTAGAATTTTATATAAATGAAATCATACCATATGTACTATTTGTGTCTGGCTCCTTTTATGCAGCATGATGATTTTTGAAATTTCTTTATTTGTTGTAACAGCGATACTTTTTAAATTGCTGAGTAGTATTCTATTATATGGATGTATATTTCACCCATTCACCTGTTGATGGACATTTGGATCATTTTCTACTTTTGGCTATTGTGAATATAGCTGCTGTGAATATTCATGTACATGTTTTTCTACAGACTTAAAGAGTTATTTGAACTGCAATATGGCATTTAAATAGAAGCTTTCATTATTCAAATGTTAAAATCATTCTGGCTTTCATGAGAAATTTCTGTCTCATGTAAGAGCAATATCTGTTTATTGATTTCTTGGGGACAATTATGGAGTTAATGCACAAATTCAGCATACTCTGAATGTTGTCAATATACAACCTCATTTCAAAATAATTTGCAATGTTTCTTATTATAGATAGGTGCAAATAAAACTTTTTATTTGAAATATAAAATTGCAAAGTTATACAAATTTTAAAAAATATAGAGAGCCCTTTGTAAAAAGGTTTTGATAAATATATAGGTTAATAATTCAGGCTACTATGATATTCCCTTGACACATGCACTGAAATCCCTTTAACTCCATGGGACTTGTGCCCATAAATTGAGAAAAGAATATATGCAGCAATTGTGTTAATTACAATAGAGTTATTGTTCAGATCAAAAAGCATCTCACTGGGGCTGTGCCTGGGGAGTCAGCATTGACCTCTTATTTGCTCTTTGACTATTGAACTTAAAGGAATCTCCATCTGCTTCCTACTTAATATTTTAGAAACTTCTTATGTTGCACTGTTGATCCCAAGGAAGTAGATATATATAAACTATAATATATAGCTAGTGACATACCAATGGTCAAAGAATCTGGTCCTCACCTCCTCCTGGAAGTTTTTCCAGATTGCCAAGAAATATAATTTTATTCTTTCTCCTTCCCTTATGTGAAAACAAGCTTTTTAACATTTTTGAAAAATCCCTTTACTGTCTAGAATATCTACTCTGCATTTTTTTTGTTTTTTACAATATCACACTTCACATGGTCTCTGGAAAACCACTGCATTTCATCAGTTTTACATCATTGTCCAATACCATTCCTGGATCTGTATTTATTATAAAATTTGTTTAATAAACATGGCACTAAGGAGGAGAGAGAAAATGTCAAAAATTCTGATCATGAAAATGGTACTGACCTGAAGATCCTCTCAAATACATTGGAAGACTCCATTCCCCCCCACCGACTGAGATTCCTGAATAAACTTTATTTTATTTTATTTAGACAAGGTCTCACTCTGTCACCCAGGTTGGAGGGCAGTGGCACAAGCTCACTGCAGCCTCGACCTCCCTAGCTCAGAGTATCCTCCTATCTTAGCCTTCCAAGTAGCTGGGATATAGGCCCAAGCCACTGCACCCAGCTAATTTTTGTATTTTTGTAGAGATGGGGTCTTGCCATGTTGCCCACGCTGGACTCTAACTCCTGGGTTCATGCAATCTGCCCACCTCAGCTTCCCAAAGTGCCGGGCCTACAGGCATGTGCCACTGTGCCCGGCCTCTGAACAAATATTAAAAATTGCTGTTTTAGTCATTGATATAGTATGATGCATGTTTAATTAGAAAAACAAAGCTCATGAAAAGTAGCATGTTTGGACTTCTCTCATTATCAAGTCTTCTAATCAATTATAACAAATATAGCGAATCTACTGGAGACTATGATTTGTCTCTTATCTGAGGCAAGTGAGAAAGGTGAGAAGGTGACAAAAACTGCAAACTCCTATTATGAAACTTAACACAATATATTACAATTCTTAAATATTGTCATACCGGAATATGATCTCTTTGAAGGCAATCACTGTGTCTTTTCATCAATATAATCTCATCACTCAACACCATTTCTGGATCTGTGTTTATTATACAATTTATTGAATGAAATAAACTGAGTATACCCCATAAACTTACTGTAGAATAATCTAGCTATGTAACTCTAATACATTATTGACAAAATTACTTCCAGACTTAGAGATGTCAACAATTAAAAATTTAAGTGTGCAGGCATCCATCCTATCTTCCAACTTGGCTGGCACTGATGCACAGGTGGTGAGACATTGCCAGGGCTGGCAGGACCACTCCATGGTAGCTTTTTAAGAGAACAGTTTCAGAGCATAACCAGAGGTCAAGTTCAGCAAGGTCCTTCCAAATGCAGCCAACCAGACAAAGAAAGACCCAGGATGAGCTAGAATGCCAGTCCAGCTGTAAGGGAAAACAGAAATGCCTAAGTTGGAAAGTGATAGGAAAAACAGAAGAATAGACAAGGGAATGTCAAAAGGAACATGACCTAAGTCAGATATGGTGTGTAAAGACATATGAAGGAAGAGAGAGTTTGATTTAGGATAAATCCTCTTTGATGTTGGTCTTCTATTATGGTACACATTTATGTATAGGTTCAGTGTTCCTGACTTTTAGGGGCTGAGCCTCAAATTCCATGGTTTTTTGTTTTTTTTTTTTCGGTGGAGTCTCGCTCTGTAGCCCAGGCTGAAGTGCAGTGGCGTGCTGCACTGCACTTCAACCTCTGCCTCCCGGGTTCAGGCGATTCTTCTGCCTCAGCCTCCCAAGTAGCTGGGATTACAGGCGCCCACCATCATGCCCGGCTAATTTTTGTATTTTTAGTAGAGATGGAGTTTCACCATGTTGGCCAGGTTGGTCTCTAACTCCCGACCTCAGGTAATCCGCCCGCCTCAGCCTCCGAAAGTACTGGGATTACAGGCATGAGCCACGGGACCCGGCCTCAAATTCCATCTTATGATGAAATTGTTGATGATTTTTAGATCTTGAGCTTAATGAAATTTGATGCAGTATTATTATAAAACTATCCACTGGGTTCCTAGAGACACAACTAGCTTGCTGGCTTTTTGGTGTGTTCTCGGCCTTCCTTCCTTCTTTCCTTCCTTCCTTCCTTCCTTCCTTCCTTCCTTCCTTCTTTCCTTTCCTTTTTCTCTTTTAGCTGGATGTCACTATATCCTGTACTGTTGGGTGCAAGTTCCAAATCTGCCCTTAGGTGTGTTTGTATTCTTCATGGAATCTATGCCCACATATGGTATATCCTAGAGCAAGTCCTTAGAGGGCTGCAGGCTTCTTCAGGCCTATTGTCAGCATAGTATAGCCCTGACTTTACACAGTGCATTATAACATATCTTTTCCTGGGTGTGCACTTTAGAGTCATAAGCACATGGAATTTCCTGAATGTCTCTCAAGGGCTTACAACGAGTGCAGGCAAATGTTGAGTTGGGAGACTTTCCCAGAACAATGTGAGAATACCCACAGTTGCTACAAACTGTGAAATAGCATAAAATGCTCCTTTTTATTAGTTACATATTGTAGTTATTGCACAGACACCTCATGAGATCTCAAACGTAAAGACTGAACTCACTATTTTCCCCATACACCCATTCTTTCTGTGTTTCTACCCTCTACTCAATATCAGTACCAGACCCCGAGTCATACAGATTAGCCAGTCTGATTTGCTTCATCTTCTTCTGTTTCCTCAGATAGAGTGAGTTGCTAAGTTCTGTCCCTGATATATTTGCATCTCCCACTTTTGCTTTCTTCCTCCCAACTGAAGCCCCTCATCACCTCCCACATGGACCATTGTAATGCTATGAGTCCCTGCTCAACCTCAGTTCCACTTAGCAGCAAATAATTGTACTACTGGCAGGGTAATCTTCCAAGAACACATGTTCAGATAATGCTGTCTCATATTTACAAAGTCTTTATAGCTTTGTATTGCTTAAAGAAATAAATTCCAACTCCATAGTTTGTTTTGTTTTTTTGAGACAGAGTTTCACTCTTGTTGCCCAGTCTGGAGTGCAGTGGTGCAATTTCAGCTCACTGCAATGTCTGCCTCCCAGGTTCAAGCAATTCTCCTGCCTCAGCCTCCCAAGTAGCTAGGATTACAGGCATGTGCCACCATGCCTGGTTAATTTTTGTATTTTTAATAGAGGGGGTTTCACCACATTGGTCAGGCTGGTCTTGAACTCCTGACCTCGGGTGATCCACCCACCTCGGCCTTCCAAAGTGCTGGGATTACAGGTGTGAGCCACTGCACCCGGCCGACAGCTGTTTTTAACCTATCTTTAAATCTTTTCCCCATAGGAGCCCTCAAACCAATTTTATCCTCCTCTGAGCTCATTTGACCTTTCATACCTTCATGTGCTGTTTATGCTCATCTTTCTGCAATGTTCTCCTCTTTAGATCTTGGTTCTTTGGGTTTTAGCTGGGAATTTGGGGCTCAGTATGTATTTAATGATTAGATAAAGGAGCAAATGAGCCTATTCTTTCCTCGTTGACTATTTATTTGTATAAGATGGAGAACCAGAAGCTAGGTGCCAACACAATCATGTTTTAGATTGTTGAATGATTTTGTCTAGGGGTTGCTGACTGTAGGATCCCTGAGTGCATGAAAGGAAAAGAGATGTCTTTGGTAAAACTTCTGGTCCTCCCACCCCCATCTTCATTTTTCTTTTCTTTTTTTTTAATTTTTTTTATTTTCTTTTTTATTATACTTTAAGTTTTAGGGTACATGTGCACATTGTGCAGGTTAGTTACATATGTATACATGTGCCATGCTGGTGCGCTGCACCCACTAACTCGTTATCTAGCATTAGGTATATCTCCCAGTGCTATCCCTCCCCCCTCCCCCGACCCCACAACAGTCCCCAGAGTGTGATATATCCCTTCCTGTGTCCATGTGATCTCATTGTTCAATTCCCACCTATGAGTGAGAATATGCGGTGTTTGGTTTTTTGTTCTTGCGATAGTTTACTGAGAATGATGATTTCCAATTTCATCCATGTCCCTACAAAGGACATGAACTCATCATTTTTTATGGCTGCATAGTATTCCATGGTGTACATATGCCACATTTTCTTAATCCAGTCTATCATTGTTGGACATTTGGGTTGGTTCCAAGTCTTTGCTATTGTGAATAATGCCGCAATAAACATACGTGTGCATGTGTCTTTATAGCAGCATGATTTATAGTCCTTTGGGTATATACCCAGTAATGGGATGGCTGGGTCAAATGGTATTTCTAGTTCTAGATCCCTGAGGAATCGCCACACAGACTTCCACAATGGTTGAACTAGTTTACAGTCCCACCAACAGTGTAAAAGTGTTCCTATTTCTCCACATCCTCTCCAGCACCTGTTGTTTCCTGACATTTTAATGCTCGCCATTCTAACTGGTGTGAGATGGTATCTCATTGTGGTTTTGATTTGCATTTCTCTGATGGCCAGTGATGATGAGCATTTTTTCATGTGTTTTTTGGCTGCATAAATGTCTTCTTTTGAGAAGTGTCTGTTCATGTCCTTTGCCCACTTTTTGATGGGGTTGTTTGTTTTTTTCTTGTAGATTTGTTTGAGTTCATTGTAGATTCTGGATATTAGCCCTTTGTCAGATGAGTAGGTTGTGAAAATTTTCTCCCATTTTGTAGGTTGCCTGTTCACTCTGATGGTAGTTTCTTTTGCTGTGCAGAAGCTCTTTAGTTTAATTAGATCCCATTTGTCAATTTTGTCTTTTGTTGCCATTGCTTTTGGTGTTTTGGACATGAAGTCCTTGCCCATGCCTATGTCCTGAATGGTAATGCCTAGGTTTTCTTCAAGGGTTTTTATGGTTTTAGGTCTAACGTTTAAGTCTTTAATCCATCTTGAATTGATTTTTGTATAAGGTGTAAGGAAGGGATCCAGTTTCAGCTTTCTATATATGGCTAGCCAGTTTTCCCAGCACCATTTATTAAATAGGGAATCCTTTCCCCATTGCTTGTTTTTCTCAGGTTTGTCAAAGATCAGATAGTTGTAGATATGCGGCGTTATTTCTGAGGGCTCTGTTCTGTTCCATTGATCTATATCTCTGTTTTGGTACCAGTACCATGCTGTTTTGGTTACTGTAGCCTTGTAGTATAGTTTGAAGTCAGGTAGTGTGATGCCTCCAGCTTTGTTCTTTTGGCTTAGGATTGCCTTGGCGATGCAGGCTCTTTTTTGGTTCCATATGAACTTTAAAGTAGTTTTTTCCAATTCTGTGAAGAAAGTCATTGGTAGCTTGATGGGGATGGCATTGAATCTGTAAATTACCTTGGGCAGTATGGCCATTTTCATGATATTGATTCTTCCTACCCATGAGCATGGAATGTTCTTCCATTTGTTTGTATCCTCTTTTATTTCCTTGAGCAGTGGTTCGTAGTTCTCCTTGAAGAGGTCCTTCACATCCCTTGTAAGTTGGATTCCTAGGTATTTTATTCTCTTTGAAGCAATTGTGAATGGGAGTTCACTCATTATTTGGCTCTCTGCCTGTTGTTGGTGTATAAGAATGCTTGTGATTTTTGTACATTGATTTTGTATCCTGAGACTTTGCTGAAGTTGCTTATCAGCTTAAGGAGATTTTGGGCTGAGACAATGGGGTTTTCTAGATATACAATCATGTCGTCTGCAAACAGGGACAATTTGACTTCCTCTTTTCCTAATTGAATACCCTTTATTTCCTTCTCCTGCCTAATTGCCCTGGCCAGAACTTCCAACACTATGTTGAATAGGAGTGGTGAGAGAGGGCATCCCTGTCTTGTGCCAGTTTTCAAGGGGAATGCTTCCAGTTTTTGCCCATTCAGTATGATATTGGCTGTGGGTTTGTCATAGATAGCTCTTATTATTTTGAAATACGTCCCATCAATACCTAATTTATTGAGAGTTTTTAGCATGAAGGGTTGTTGAATTTTGTCAAAGGCTTTTTCTGCATCTATTGAGATAATCATGTGGTTTTTGTCTTTGGCTCTGTTTATATGCCGGATTACATTTATTGATTTGCGTATATTGAACCAGCCTTGCATCCCAAGGATGAAGCCCACTTGATCATGGTGGATAAGCTTTTCGATGTGCTGCTGGATTCGGTTTGCCAGTATTTTACTGAGGATTTTTGCATCAATGTTCATCAAGGATATTGGTCTAAAATTCTCTTTTTTGGTTGTGTCTCTGCCTGGCTTTGGTATCAGGATGATGCTGGCCTCATAAAATGAGTTAGGGAGGATTCCCTCTTTTTCTGTTGACTGGAATAGTTTCAGAAGGAATGGTACCAGTTCCTCCTCGTACCTCTGGAAGAATTTGGCTGTGAATCCATCTGGTCCTGGACTATTTTTGGTTGGTAAGCTATTGATTATTGCGACAATTTCAGAGCCTGTTATTGGTCTATTCAGAGACTCAACTTCTTCCTGGTTTAGTCTTGGGAGGGTGTATGTGTCGAGGAATTCATCCATTTCTTCTAGATTTTCTATGAAATTCTGGGTTGAAAATTCTTTAAGAATGTTGAATATTGGCCCCCACTCTCTTCTGGCTTGTAGGGTTTCTGCAGAGAGATCCGCTGTTAGTCTGATGGGCTTCCCTTTGAGGGTAACCCGACCTTTCTCTCTGGCTGCCCTTAACATTTTTTCCTTCATTTCAACTTTGGTGAATCTGACAATTATGTGTCTTGGAGTTGCTCTTCTCGAGGAGTATCTTTGTGGCGTTCTCTGTATTTCCTGAATCTGAACGTTGGCCTGCCTTGCTAGATTGGGGAAGTTCTCCTGGATAATATCCTGCAGAGTGTTTTCCAACTTGGTTCCATTCTCCCCATCACTTTCAGGTACACCAATCAGACGTAGATTTGGTCTTTTCACATAGTCCCATATTTCTTGGAGGCTTTGCTCATTTCTTTTTATTCTTTTTTCTCTAAACTTCCCTTCTCGCTTCATTTCATTCATTTCATCTTCCATTGCTGATAACCTTTCTTCCAGTTGATCGCATCGGCTCCTGAGGCTTCTGCATTCTTCACGTAGTTCTGGAGCCTTGGCTTTCAGCTCCATCAGCTCCTTTAAGCACTTCTCTGTATTGGTTATTCTAGTTATACATTCTTCTAAATTTTTTTCAAAGTTTTCAACTTCTTTGCCTTTGGTTTGAATGTCCTCCTGTAGCTCAGAGTAATTTGATCGTCTGAAGACTTCTTTTCTCAGCTCGTCAAAGTCATTCTCCATCCAGCTTTGTTCCGTTGCTGGTGAGGAACTGCGTTCCTTTGGAGGAGGAGAGGCGCTCTGCTTTTTAGAGTTTCCAGTTTTTCTGTTCTGTTTTTTCCCCATCTTTGTGGTTTTATCTACTTTTGGTCTTTGAGGATGGTGATGTACAGATGGGTTTTTGGTGTGGATGTCCTTTCTGCTTGTTAGTTTTCCTTCTAACAGACAGGACCCTCAGCTGCAGGTCTGTTGGAATACCCTGCCGTGTGACGTGTCAGTGTGCCCCTGCTGGGGGGTGCCTCCCAGTTCGGCTGCTCTGGGGTCAGGGGTCAGGGACCCACTTGAGGACGCAGTCTGCCCATTCTCAGATCTCCAGCTGCGTGCTGGGAGAACCACTGCTCTCTTCAAAGCTGTCAGACAGGGACATTTAAGTCTGCAGAGGTTACTGCTGTCTTTTTGTTTGTCTGTGCCCTGCCCCCAGAGGTGGAGCCTACAGAGGCAGGCAGGCCTCCTTGAGCTGTGGTGGGCTCCACCCAGTTGGAGCTTCCTGGCTGCTTTGTTTACCTAAGCAAGCCTGGGCAATGGAAGGCGCCCCTCCCCCAGCCTCGCTGCCGCCTTGCAGTTTGATCTCAGACTGCTGTGCTAGCCATCAGTGAGACTCCGTGGGCATAGAACCCTCCGAGCCAGGTGCGGGATATAATCTCGTGGTGCGCCGTTTTTTAAGGCGGTCCGAAAAGCGCAATATTCGGGTGGGAGTGACCCGATTTTCCAGGTGCGTCCGTCACCCCTTTCTTTGACTCGGAAAGGGAACTCCCTGACCCCTTGCGCTTCCTGAGTGAGGCAATGCCTCGCCCTGCTTTGGCTCGCGCACGGTGCGCGCACCCACTGACCTGCGCCCACTGTCTGGCACTCCCTAGTGAGATGAACCTGGTACCTCAGATGGAAATGCAGAAGTCACCCATCTTCTGCGTCGCTCACGTTGGGAGCTGTAGACCAGAGCTGTTCCTATTCGGCCATCTTGGCTCCTCCCCCCCATTTTTCTCCTTCTTCCAAATTAATAGCGTTTTAGCTAGACACAGGGATGCCCAGCTAAATACTGTATTTCCCAGCTTCCCTTGAAGCTAGAAATGGCCATATGACTAAGTTCTGGACAATGCTTTGTAAATAAAATTAATGGGTATCATTTGTGAGATTTGTCCTTAAAATAACTGTTTGTGTACTTCTCTGGTTTCTTCTCCTTTTCCAGATGCTTAGAATGAGACTGAAATGCCATCTTAGGTCTACAAGTAGGGGCCATAAGTTAAAGAAGGCAGAGATGCCACTAGCCTTAGAGTGTCCACTTAACTCTAGACTTTTATACCACTGCACTTTGAGGTTTTCAATTATAGCACCTTAGCCTGTACCCTACCCACTCCCTTTCTTTCTTAAAACAAAATGAAACAAAAATAAATTTTGTTCAGGATAATTACATACTCAATGAAAATTTATTATCTCCTCAGACCCTTTTGCCATATCAGGTGGCCATAGGATCCATTTCAGGCCATGAGATATGACTGGAATATTCCTAGGAGGACCTTCCAAGAAATCTATCATTTTCATAATTAAAAAAAATAGACTGGACTGGTGTAAGTCATTTTGTTTCTTTTTTTTTTCTGCCTAGGAACCATTTATGATGTCATTGCTAAGTTATGCCTTCCCTATTGAAAATCTACACCTCACAATGACTAAAATACTATCAGATTTTGTTTCTACCTAGGACATTCCAAGTCATCAATCTAATGAATGGTACACATTGAGCTACAGCATTGATTTATATGTTTGAATTAGACAAGGCTTTACTCCATAGAACAGCCCTGGACTGACTACCTTAGGATTTCTAAATACCCAAGGAAACAAACAAAACAAAACAAAACAAAACAAAACCATCTTTTATTTTTTATACTCTGCTATATTCCCACTGTCTGGCTTATATAATAAATGTTCAAGAAAATCTGCTGAATAAGTAAATAAATTAATACCATTATAGACTATTTTAACTTTTCAACTCCTTGGGAGGAGTTAATTAGTATAAATTAACATAGCTGGGAATTGTTTTATGATTGACAGACCAAATCCTTTAACATTCATTCTATGATATAATTGAAATACATTTGGAGTTCCTATATGAAAACATTCTGCTACGCACTACGAGACACAGAAGTAAATACATAGGCAAGCATAGGCTCTATTGAGGTTAGAATTAAATAAAAAATTTGTGTGATGCTTTAATGTAATATCTGCTTTATTTTAGTGGACTGGAAAGAAACTTTGAATATCTCTGTGTTATGCCTGTAGTTCTCTGATGGCTATTTGGGTGAAAGAAACCATATACGAATTATCTAAGTTTTAAGATATATTCGTTGATATTACAGAAAGATGAAGATTACCAAGCATTTGTTGAGTTTCTGTTTCACTGGTGCAGTTGGTACCAGGCAGAAGGCTTAGTTGTACAGTCAGTGAGAGGGATTTTTTCTCCTGCCTTGCATTTCACTACCACCGATGAAGGGTATTGCTGATATTAAATATTCAGACAGATCTAATCCAATCACCACTGAAGAACTTTACTAGCAGATAGAGAGCAGTTTACAAGATATTTAAGAATCCAGTAATATGGTTTCTCAAAAAACTACCACACAAATAGTTGTTAGCAGAAAACTGAATACAAAGAATAATTCCAGGAATCGTGGAGGCTGAAAGATATAATTTAAGCCTTAAACTGAAATACATCATTTATTAGACCTCATTCTTTGATCTTTAAACCCAAAACTCTGCGTTCATTGAGATATTCCAGGAATATCTTAACCACAAATTCAAAAGTGTTTTGTCAATATTTTATCATTACAGTTCATAAGAGCCCTTTTGTGGAAAGGAACAAGATTTGTAATCATCCCTATTTGGCAGTTGTGGCAACACCAAGGGAAAGTCATAGGGAGCTGGCCTTGGTCTCTAGGATACAACAGTTGTATTTACTCTAATTGTAGCTGCCCAATCTGAGAAGTTTGCATCAAACTGATGAGCGCTTTCTTCTCAGCATACTAAGCAGTATGCTGAGTTTTAATAGGATCTGGATCGGGTCTAGTGAATACATGGCATTGCAGATGGACTCTGGAGAGCTTGTGATTAGAAAAGTTCTCTGAAATTCCTGTCGCCTGTAACAGAAAGATGGTGAGAATAGAAACCTATGGACATTGAAAAAAAAAAAAAAAAAAAGAAAAAACCTTCTAACTAACTATCCTTTAAGGCCAACCCAAACCACCTCCTCTATGGAGCCTTGCCACATTCCCTCAATCATTTATAATCCACCCTTCCTTTTACTCTCTATAGCATTTGGTTTAGTTTTGGATTTTTTTTTCAAATCCCTTCCTTTAAAACATTATTTTGTTTTAATGGACTTATGGTGACTTATGTAAACATTTTCATTTCTTATACAATAGTCATTTTAATTCTAACCTCAATAGAGCCTATGCTTGCCTACGTATTTACTTCTCTCTCTGTCTTTTGTAGTGCTTAGTAGAATGTTTTCAGATAGGAACTCCAAATGTATTTCAATTATATCATAGAATGAATACTTTGTTTTATATGTAAATAGATGTGCTATCATTCAGGTTTTGTTATTCCATTTATAAAGCACAGAGTAGAGGTAGTGTAGTTCTTAAGGGTCCTAGGATTTTCAGAATATTAAATGAGCATTGGCTTCAACTTAAAGTCACTAGCTGTATTAGCCCCTAACAAGAAAATTGGTCTGACCTTTGAAGCTTTGAAGTCAGCCATTGTCTTCTCCTCTCTAGCTACAAAGTCCTAGATGGCATCTTTACCAATATAAGGCTGCTTCATCTTCATTGAAAATCTGTTGTTTAGTGTAGCCACCTTAATCAATGATCTTAGCTAGATCTGTTGGGTAACTTGCTGCAGCTTCTTTGTCAGCTTTGAATTGAAGAGAATTAGGGCCTTGCTCTGGAGTAGGCTTTGACTTAAGGGATGTTGTGGCTCCTTTCATCTATGCAGACCACTATAATTTTCTCCATACAAGTTGAGTATCCCTTATTTGGAATCCATGGGATCAGAAGTATTTTGGATTTCAGAGTTTTTCAGATTTTGGAATATTTGCATCATACTTATTGGTTGAACATCCCAAATTCAAAAATCTGAGATCTCAAATGCTCCAGTGAGCACTTCCTTTGAGCATCATGTTGGCACTCAAAAATTTTCAGATTTTAGAACATTTCACATTTTGAATGTTTGGATTTGAGATGCTCAACCTCTGTCAGCAATAAGACTATTTCACTCTCTTATCTTTAATGTGTTCACTGGAGTAGAACTTTTAATTTCCTTCAAGAACTTTGCCTTTGGCTTCACAACTTGGCTAACTGTTTGGTGCAAGAGCGCTAGCTTTCAATGTAGCTCAGCTTTCGACATGCCTTCCTCACTAAGCTTAATCATTTCTAGCTTTTGATTTAAGCTGAGAAATGCACAACTCTTCCTTTCACTTGAACACTTAGAGGTCATTAAGGGTTATTAATTGGACTGATTTTAATATTGTTGTTGTTTCAGGGATTAGGGAGGCCCAAGCAGAGGGAGAGAGATGAGGAAATGCCTACTTGGTGGAATAGTCAGCACACACACATTTATCGATTAAGCTTGCCATCTTCTATGGGTATGAGTCATGACACCCCAAAACAATTACAACAGTAACACCAAACATCACTGATCACAGATTACCGTAACAGATATAAAAATAATGACAACATTGGGAATATTGTGCGACTTACCAAAATGTGAGGCAGAGACACAAGGTGAACATGTGCATGTGGAAAAATGGCATCAATACACTTGCTCAATCCAGGACTGCCACCAATCCTCATTTGTAAAAAAATATCTGTGAAGTGCAATAAAACCAGGTATGCCTGCACATATGCTCAGATAGTTTAGACAAAGCCATGTGTCTGTTCAACCATGATTAAATGTCTAATAGGTTTTTGAAGCATTGTTCTGGCCTGGCTGTTTAATGAAGAAGAAGACTTGGTCTCTGTCCTCAAAAGAGTGTATAGTTTAGTGGAGGGAAAAAGAAAAGGGACATCACAATACATGAGATTAGAGGTAGGAATCAGCAGAGTGGTAGCACAGTCATTTAATCTCTGGAGTCGCAGAAAGATAAATTCTGCCTCATCTCACTTATAGCTGTATGTGTAATATACAAAAGTCAAACTTATAGGAACAGAAGTAGAAGGCAGTTACCAGAGGCTGCGGGTTGGGAGGAAGAGGGATGTTGGTTGAAAGACACAAAATTTAGTTAGGTGGAATAATTTCAAGAGATCGAGTATATGTTGATATGGTTTGGCTCTGTGTCCCCACCCAAATCTCATCTCAAACTGTAATCCCCATGTGTCAAGGGAGGGATCTGTAATCCCCCTGTGTCAAGTGTAGGAGGTGACTGGATCATGAGGGCGGTTTCCCCCATGCTATTCTAGTACTAGTGAGTGAGTTCTCACAGGATCCGATGGTTTTATAAGGCAGTTTTCCCTGCTCCTTCATTCTACTCTCTCCTGCCACTATTTGAAGAAGGTCCTTGCTTCCTCTTCACCTTCTGCCATGACTGTAAGTTTCCTGAGGCCTCTCCAGCTATGTGGAACTGTGAGTCAGTTAAACCTCTTTTCTTTATAAATTACCCAGTCTCAGATATTTCTTTATAGCAGCATGAAAACAGACTAATACATATGTCGTGGTGGCTATAGTCAATTACGATACATGGTATAATTGAAAATTGCTAAGAGAGCAGATTTTCAGTGTTCTCACTATACACAAAAAATAAGTTTGTAGGAGCTGGGCACGGTGGCTCACACCTATAATCCCAGCACTTTGGGAGGCTGAGGCGGGCGGATCATGAGGTCAGCAAATCGAGACCATCCTGGCTAACACAGTGAAACCCCATCTCTACTAAAAATACAACAAATTAGCTGGGCATGGTGGTGGGTGCCTGTAGTCCCAGCTACTTGGGAGGCTGAGGCAGGAGAATGGTGTGAACCTGGGAGGTGGAGTTTGCAGTGAGCTGAGACTGCGCCACTGCACTCCAGCCTGGGCAACAGAGTGATACTCCATCTCAAAAAAAAAAAAAAAAAAAAAAAATTTAAAAAAAAGTTTGTAAGGCAATGCATATGTTAAATAGCTTGATTTGGTCATTCATAATGCATACATTTACCAAAACATGTTTTACACCATAACTGTATACATTTTTTTATTTGTCAATTAAAAAAATAAGTTTAAAAAATCAAAATAAAAGTTTTCCAGGAGAGGTGAGATTTGAAGTAGTTTTCATCATGTGAATGTGATTTTGAGAGGCAAGGAGGTTTGGGGCAGGGGAGCAGGGAAGACATAGGACCTTAAATGAATTTGCTGACCTTTGGGGAATTGTTTGGCACTGAAAATGTTTCTGTCCTCAAGAAGGCAGGAAGAGGAAAACTTCAACTGCATTCTGACCGATTTGTACCTACTCTGATTTAGTTATCTTCTCTTTCTCTCTACAGTGAAGCCCAGCAGGTTGTAGCTGTATAATATAATTTATACAGCACATATTTATATCACATTGTATAGTTATTTAAGTGCATTTTAAATCGCCCTTGTCTGATTTTTACAACACCCCTGTGAGTGAGATGGGTGAAGATATTATTTGTTGAAATTATTAAGAGCATGGGCTTTGAAGTCCAACAGGCCTGGCTTCAAATTCTTGCAAGTTTGGGCCAGTTATTTAATTTCTCTGAGACTTGGTTTTTTCTTCTATTTTCCTCTCACATGCCTGTAATGTCACACTTTGCTCTACTGATCAGATCTCTGTAGTGGATCTGACATTCCATTTTACTTGGGAATACAATCTTTGCCAATTTCAGAAGAAGCAGAGAACAGAGATTCAGAGAAGGAGCTTTGCAGTCTTATTGTTTGGGTTCAAATTGTGGCTGTATTCCTTTTCACATAGGTCAGGACCTCTGCTCGTCTTTGGAAGGCAACTTATTGACATCTGGAGACCCAGTTTCCCTCCTGCTTCTCTCTTCTACCCTAGACCACAGTACCCAAGCTTAGGCAGAGATTCCTTCCATAATTCACTGTAGCAAGAGCTGAGACATTGTTATAATATTCATACAATCACTAAAGGCCTGAGATAAACAGAAAACTTAACACTCAATGCTAGCTTCAGTTGCTCCTAGAATCCACAGTCCTCAGACCCCACAGAGGTCCTCTTTTGGGCATTCTTCTCGGTCCACTGTTACGTGGAAGGGGTCAGTACTCCCCAGGATTGACACTTGTGCCTGGCTCTGTACCAGAGAAGCCATCTCATTACAAGTTGGTAGAAGTGGGGAAGTAGTTTTCTCTCACTCTCAGCTAACACCTGTTATTAGAGGTTACCCTCCCCATCAGGAATTCACTCTTCCCAGGATGATTGACAGAGGGCATGCTAATTTCTTTAGGAGGAAACCTTCACCCCTACCAGAATCCCATGCAGCCGTGCAGTACTCTCAACAAGCTAAAATTCTGGCTGGACTCCCAAAAAGCAAAAATTTTGGCTAGGCTACAAACTGCTATTTTTAAGTATTCCACACTTATTTAATAGGGACTTTTTTTTTAATTAATAAAAAGACTAAGTATCTTGTTAAGTTCAAAGGAGGAAATTAATATATAGTTTAAATATAAAATAATATTCTTATGTATTTGACATTATAGGCAAGAAACTTAAAATACCTTCTCACTCATGATTGACATCTGTTTTGTCAGGAGCAAGAAAATCTCCTTCATTGGTCCTGGAAGGAACTGCATAACGTGATGAAACCTTTTTCTATTTGTTTTATTGATGGTTTAGCCCACCTTAAAAATTGGTGCTCCAGCTAGCTACCCAAGGGCCCAGTATCCTAAATATAGCACTAAATTTATCCTCAGGAAGTCACCTGAACTTCAGTTCATAATATATATCTGAGAAAAATTTGAGAGTATGATTTTTTAAATCTGTCTTATTCAGTTTTGAATAATGTTGTACAAGGCACATGAATTGTCCAGTTCAGGTTGGTTTTCAGTAGGTACAAATCTCAGCATCTACAACCTAAACATGAATTGAAGATACCATCTCTGTACCTACTTTGTACTCTTTTAGGCCTTAGCACCTAGTCTTTTTTGGAGAATAGCTTAATAAGAAAACACACACACACACACACACACACACACACCCTGCCAAAATAAACACTAATGAGTTTCAGGTATACCATAGTCAGTCTGTATTTAGAAAAGAGACTTCTCTACTGAAAAAGAAATGTCTTCCAGAATGAGGACATCTTTTTACACTAAATTCAGAACAAGCCAGCCCTTTTGAGTTCTCTCAGCTCCTCCAGAGTCCACTCCCTCACCTTCCTTCAGAGGTGCCACTAGCCTGCCTTTTTGATCAAAGACTTTAGTCCCCAGTGAAGGTTACCAAAACACTATGTTACTTACCTTGAATTTCTTATAAAGGAGATTGTGCTGTAGGCATTCTTAGAGACTTACTTCCTTTACCCAGCATTTATATTTTGTTTGCTTTCAAAATTTCTGAAAACCTTTCTGTTTTTGGTGTATCTCTTGAGCTTTGTTTTATGCTCCAACATGAAAGCCTTTTAAACAATTTTTAATGTTAGTTTAATGCAATAAAAATGGGCTTAGATTAAGTTTGGCATAATTTTATGCCATATTTTCTATTTTATTTGCTTTTTAAAATCTCTAAACTTGAGCTTTTTCTTTTCTCTGTTTTCTAGGAGGAATATAATTTTTTCTTAAATTTTATATAATTATTTTGTAGTAGTTACCTTTGTAATTATTACTCTATATTATACCCTTAGGCCTTAATTTACATGGACAGTATTTATTACTTTCCTACTATGGATAATGATGAAAATAATATACTTTGCTATCTTCCTTCTCTTCCTTTATTTTCTCCATCATGCTATTTTAGTAAAGTACATAAATTTTCTTAGTGTTTTCATTTGTTCATTAAATACAATTACAATGTTATTACTTGGTTTGTTAAATCTAAATAATATTCTTTGATTTCTGATCAATATAGATGAGAAATCAGCATTCTTTACTTTCTGCTGTTTTTCTCTTTTTTCTTCCACATATATATAGACATATATATACATAAATATATATATATACATAAATATATATATATATACACATAAATATATATATATATACATATATATATATATATATATATATATATACACACACACACACACACACACACATTAGACAAAGTCTCACTCTGTCACCCAGGCTGAAGTGCACTGGTGGTGCAAGCTCGGCTCACTGCAACCTCCACGTCCCAGATTCAAGTGATTCTTGAAACAGGGTTTCACCATGTTGGCCAGACTGGTCTCAAATTCCTGACCTCAGGTGATCTGCCTGCCTTGGCCTCCCAAAGTGCTGAGTTTACAAACATGAGCCACCGTGCTCGGCCACCTTCCATATTTTTATTAGTCAAACTATATACACCCACACCCACACACACATACACCCACAGTTTACCTTTGTTCCGTCACCCTAATGTCTACATTTGCTTTGGTCTTCATTGCATGGGGACATAAAGTTCTCACTACTACCACCAGTCTTTTTCCAAAGTTTCCTTTTGGTTCTCTAGTCTTGATTCTACATATTGCCTGAGTTATTAGATGAGAAATATAGTTTGTTACTTTTATATTCAAATAGCAAGTTAGCTGGGCATAAAATCTTTGGGTTGTACTTTTTATTTGCAAAATATTTTGCTGGGGCCGCTCTTACAGTACTGAATGATATCGTAGAAAAGTATATTTAGCCTTATATTTCCCCCTCATAAGTATCCCAATCCTCCGGCCAGCTATCCATGAAAGGCTTTATCTTCAACATTTGTTACTAATGAGGATATATCTCACTGTTGACAACAGTGAGTAATTTTTCCCTGATATATTATGCATGTCTTCAAATAATAGGTTCAAATGATTTGAAATCATATTTCAGGAACTTATTCTTTAATTACACTTTGAAATGTTTCTTCTGTTGCATTATTTTAGTTTTATGCTTTGAGTAAAGAACTCTAAAGTCTGTGTTGTATTTCTTTTGACTGTTTTCTATAGTTGTCATTTTATTTACAATTCTTTTGGAAATTTTCTCTTATTTCAATTTTATTTTGTCACTTTCATCATTTACACACTTTGTGTACCTACTTTATTTTACAGTGTCCATTCTCCCTTATTATCTGTCTAGTGTTACCTTTTATTTGAGACAGTCTTGCTCTGTCACCTAGGCTGAAATAGCAGTGGCACAATTTTGTCTCACCACAACCTCCGCCTCCCGGGTTCAAGTGATTCTTGTGCCTCAGCCTTCTGAGTAGCTGGGACTACAGGCACGTGCCACCATTCCCGGCTAATTTTTCTATTTTTAGTAGAGATGGGGGTTTCACCACGTTGGCCAGGCTGGTCTCGAACTCCTGACCTCAGGTGATCCACTGACCTGGGCCTCCCAGAGTGATGAGATTACAGGCATAGGCCACCATACCTGGCCTTAGTGTTGCCTTTATTTTTGAGATGTTTTTCCCCACCATTTTTCTGAGCAATGCTAGCTTTTCATTTCTTCAATTATTTGCATTAATTGTTGTATTTCTGCTTGGCATCTTGTCATAGACCATTTAATACCTCACCACTAAAATATTTTTAAAAATAAAGACCAATGTTTTTTCACAATAAAGATAAATGTTTAGTCACAATTTACATATTTTAAAATTAACATTTATATAGAACTTACTCTGTACTTGGCATTATTCTAAGCATTTTACAAACATGAGTTCATTTAGTCATCCTAACAACCCCATGCAGTAGATATTCCCTTGAACTCTATTTTACAAACTGAGGAAACTGAGGCACAGAGGTGTTAATTAACTTTCTCTAGAGATTTGTAACTGGGTAGTCTGCTTCCAGACTCTATTGTATTAATAATTATGCTATGCGGCCTCCAGGGTATTAGCTGTTCAATTTTTATTATTTCCTCTTTTTTTTTTTTTTCCTGCTAGTATCTCTTTATAGATCCCATTCTTGTTTTTCCTTTTGAACTCATCATTGAAAAAGGCGTGTTTTTCTGGACCAACTACTACGGGAGTTTCAGATGTAAAGGAGGAACCAGAGCTGTGTTACAGGTTAGCAGGATTTCTGCACATTGGTTTATGTAGCTACTACTTCTCTCCAGCCAGCTGGGTGTAGGTAGATGCAAGACAGTGCAGAGACTATCCTGAACCATGTGCTTCCTTGTATATATGCTGGTGTGTGTGTGATTCCTTATTTAGATTTCCTTCTTCTTTGTCTAAAAATCAACTCAGGTCCAGGGTTGCTTCTGGGGCCAACACAAGTGCCCCAATCCTGCATTGCAAAGGAAGATCTAGATCTAACAACAGACTGGGCCCCTCGCTTCGCAGAGCTGAATTTTGCTCGCTCTCTCCTATCTCAGAAGCTGGCCCTCTGCCTGCTGCTATGGAATTCACTCTGTGGCATGTTCTCTGGGCTTCCTCCCACATGAGTCTTGCTCTCCTCTGCTTAGTCTCCACTGCTTTTGGCAGCCCTTACACCTATTTTGGGCTCTGGGGGGGTTTAGCTGTCTTCTACTTCTGCTGAAAATGAAGTTTGCATTTTTGTTTCCCTTTCTCCTTGTTGCTTTTGGATGTTCTCCAGCAGGAGAAGGGGGATGTGCTTAACTGCATGGTCTACGTTCAGACCACAAGTGCCCCCTTCGCATTTTTATTCTTCCATTTTTTTCCACAGTCAAAGACTCTTAAATTAAAGTTACTAGACCTCTGACAAGAATGGCTAATAAAATGATTATAAAGATTTTCATGAATGAACTGTTATGACTGAGAGAATGGGAGTGAGTATTAACACTGCGGGCCTCATTTGATTAGGCTCACGCAGACAGACTCTATTGAAATCACTTTTTACCCTATTCTCGTTGATGAATGTTACTAGTATGCTGTTTACTTCCTCTACCGAATTGCAAATGAATGCAATTAAAATTCTAAAGCAAAAATCCAAATCCTCCTTGCCCTGATTTAGTACACACCTAAAGTGTCCAGTTTCATACACAGTATCTGTTCAATACATGCAATGAAATAAAATAAAAATGCTCTTCAGTTTAAAGGTTATTTTGTGGTTATGCTTGAATTATTTGAGAAAAAGTATGGCTCTCCTTTGACATTTCCATAAAATATGCAACAAAATTGAAAGTAGTAAGACAAAATATGGTCTTAATCATCAGCTAAACATTTATTTTTAAGGTCATTCATTTCATTGTCAAAATACTCTAGAAAACAGACCTTTTAAACTGTATTTTCACCATACAATGCTGAAATTGAAAATCGGTGTTGTTTTCTATTCCAAATGTTAAAATTATTGTAAAATAAATACCATTCAGGCAATGACAGTTTCAGGAACTCTCTGGAAGTTCTCAAATTGCAAAGTGAAATGTATGCACATATTGTTTCCCTGATTGTTGGACTTGAAGCCTCCCTTCTATGTTCCAGGTAAAAATATTATCCATGTTTTTGTATGATCATTCCTTAATGTTTTATATGCATTTCTTCCCATGTTTAATCCCATTTGATTTATATATGCAGGCTCTAATATTCCATTTCCCTTTTCATTAAATAGTGACTTAAGAAACTAAAAGAATTTGTAGCAGGAAAGAGCTAATCTTGGTGGTGCTAAATGAAATTGATATTTAAGTTGAAACATGGCCTTCCTTGCCTCTCAACCCCCATAATTCCTCTTATGTCTTAATTGTGATTTGTCAGACCTATAATTTGGCTATAATTTGCTTCTCTGAGAAAGTTTAAGAAATGAATCATTTTTTAAAATCCTTATTAGTGAGAATTTTTTTTCCTCTCAATTTTCTCACCTTCTAATTTTCAATACAAATGATGAATCATGAAGTCAGTGGGATTTTCCTAGGCACATTTGCCAACCTTTTTAAATTTCTGGCTTTTAAAGGAGTTTAATTTGGGATTTTTATTACAGGAAGAAATCACTTAGTTCCTGAACAAAATGTGTTGGTGAAATAGATTAAGAACTTCTATAGGACATAAATTCAAAAAAGTTTATATTGCTATATTGTATCTTTTTATTTGAATAATATTCCATTATCTTGTTTTATGTTGATGTTTACTATAGTATGTCCATTTTAAGGTATGTCTAAATTTAAAATTAATAATAAAGTAAAAAAATGCCTTTTACAATTGGCTGCAAAATAACATGTCATATAATTGTCTGATAATGGCAGAACATGTAAGTGCTTTTGTTTTAATTTGAAACTTTGCGTTTGTTGAATGTTGATAGACCCTCAGTGTTAAATGAATTATTGAATGAACAAATGATATTAGAATCTAGGAAAAAGTAAAGTAACCAACTAATCCAGTTTGTCTAGGATTGCCCTGCTTCTTAAACTAACAAACATTTCCTTGTCCTGGAAACCTGGGTGATTGGTCATCTAGAAAATGTGAGTTTACCTTGTATACCTTTTGCTATGTTTAAGAACTGTGGTCAGGAAACTATGAACCTTGGCCAAATCTAGCCTGTTTTCGTAAATAAAGTTCTGCTAAAATGCAGTAACACTTATTCACTTATATATTGCTTATGGCTGTTTTCACACTACAACCACAGAGTTGGGTAGTTGAACAGACTGCATAGCCTATAAGGCCAAAATATTTACTACTATGCTCTTTACAAAAAAAGGTTCTGTATTTTCACATTCCGAATTTTAAATTATACATTTTACACAATTAAAAGAGATCCTTTTAGAAAATTACTTTCGGAAATTTGTGACTAAACTTGATCAAAATTATTATTTATGATTTGGGGTAAAATAAAATGTGTTGACATTCTGTGATCTTCCATTAAATACCAGCTACTGTGCTGACTTTTAGGAATAAATATAAAAATAAATAAGACATTATCTGTGGCCTTGGGAAACTCATTCTAAAGTCAGAGAAATGCAGAGGTGATGTTAGTAAATATATGCAAATTTCTTTAGATGAAATATTTTGGATCAGATGAGATAATGTTTTAAGACAGTGATCATTTTTAAAATTTTAACTAACTTTTTTTTTTTTTTTTGAGACAGAGTCTCACTGTCGTTCAGGCTGGAGTACAATGGCACGATCTTGGCTCACTGCAACCTCCGCTTCCCAGGTTCAAGCAATTCTCCCACCTCGGCCTCCTGAGTAGGTGGGATTACATGCACCCATCATCATGCCTGGCTAATTTTTATATTTTTTGAGATAGGATTTCACCATGTTGGCCAGGCTGGTCTTGAACTCCTGACCTCAGGTGATCCGCCTGCCTTTGCCTCCCAAAGTGCTGGGATTACAGGCGTGAGCCACCGCGCCCTGCCTAAAATTTTAACTTTTGTTTTCTTTTCCACTCGAGTCTATCCTCTATTCATCACCTCAGGGTAAGGATAAAACAGAAAAGAGAGAAAAACAAGAATCTCGGCTCCTTATAAATTTCTTGATTAAAGCTTGAGACTTATACCTGGCACATAGATAAATAGTTCAGTGACAATTCTGTTAACAAATGTTCTCTCCAACACTTTCATGTGCTTTTAAATTCGTGCTAGTATGGTGAGAATGGAACAAGCAGGACCATGTAGGGGAAAGTTTGGATTCAAACCAAACTTGAAAAAGATGACATCTGGGAATCAGAGTTGCTAAGATTACGTGTACACTTAGAGGACTAAGTACACTAGAGGACTTTCTTAGTGAAAACATAGTCTGAGGAGAGAGAGAGAGAGAGAGAATAAGTTGATCTATATTGGAGAAATAGCAAATGAAAAGATTGTTAAGCAAAAGTAATAGGATTTATTAAGATCTTACTGTATGCTGTCATTTAAACTCTGGAGCCAGCTATGCCTGAATTCTACCTTTGGCAATATGAACCATCAAGTCACATTTCTACTTAATTCAAGTTTCAGTTGAGGTTTCCATCACTTGCAGTTGGTAAAAATCCCAAATAATATATATATAGTGCTCCCCCAAATTTCCCTTGAAATAGCAGAGGAAAATAAAAATGAATCTGTAGCACTCTGAAGATGTAGTTCAGGAATGTCCAAAGCATGTATAAAACTTCTTTCAAATCTCCCATTTCATCTTAATCAGAATCTTGTGTCATTCTTTGTAATATCTGTTTTTTTTAATTAAAAGATATGTATTTCAGAAAGAAGGAAAAAATAGAGACTTACACCTCATTACATAAAATTTCACAAAACATTTGCAATTGGTGGTGTCATTCCCATTTTATAGATGAAGAACTCAAAGCTCAACGAGATTAAGTAACTTATTCAGGGTCACAGAGCTATAGATTGAAAAGCCAGTATTCAAATCTAGGTCAAGTTTATTGCCAAATTTTAACAATTAACCTGAGTCTCCATAATCATGGACCAGAAAGAACACATATGTGGGGAGCACCAGAATTGAGACAGGCCAGGTTTATCCTAAAGAAATGAATATGAGGTTAAATATAAGAGTAACTACAACAACTAAACAACCTCTATGAGTATCTAATATATATCAGACACTGTGAGCAAAAGAAATCAAGGGATGGCTAGAAGCCCTTGGAAGGAACTACCAAGTGAACAAGTAACATGAGCGTGTGCAGAAAATTAACTTCAGCTGTACATAGTTTACACCACCAAGGGCTCCTGACGTTCCATGAGCATTGTTGTGCTACTGAACTGACTTGGTATGGTGAGCTACAGAAGCAATGTGATCAAATGGATGACGCGAGAGAGCTGCAGAAAGTACAGTCTGAATTAAATGGCACCATCTTGGGAGACTAACTTACTGTGCTCCCTTCTCTCCTGTTCCCTTCCAACACAGGTGGTAACAGTGGAAATGTAATGCCAGAAAACCTGATTAGCAGAACTTTCTGTTCCATTTTATAGTGATTTCAACCTTGATTAGTTTTCTATCCTGAAACTTGGGACTCACTGGCTGAGTGAGTGATTAAGTAATAGTGATTATCAAATATGTTTTTAATACAGAAACATTTTTTAAATTACCTTGAAAATAAATTTATTACATAAGGTTGCGGCAGAATTTTTAAAAGACTCATCCAAGATAATATATTAATATATAATGCATATAAACACATATGAATACTTTGTTGTACACTTTAAAAAAAAACAGTAAAATACCGTTGTGTCTGAACGGTAAAAAAAAGATATGAAAAGTTAGTTATTACTCAGTTAATCCAGAATTGATAAAACAAGAAAACTCAAATTCTAGAGTGTTTTGTTTTTTAATTTTATGAAAGGGAAGGAATAAGCAGAATTAATGTTTTGCTCATTCAAGTGACAACAAAATTTGTATAATGCTCTACAGGTTATAAAACTCTTATCCGAGTTAGCTCATTTAATTCTTATAATAGAAGGATGTGACTTTCCATAAAGGTTGTAGTTTCAACTAAGCCTAGGTCTCTGAATCAAATTCCATTCCTTTTTCATCCCATCGTCACTTCACTTCACTTCACTTTTACACCATGTAAGGTCTTCATGGACTGAATTCCTAAACAAACAAACAACCCCAAGACGCTACAAAGAACATGGGAGTACAGATCTCTTCAAGATCCTCATTTCAGTTTTTTAGAATAAATACCCAGAAGTGGGATTCCTGGATCACATAGTAGTTCTATTTTTAATTTTTTGAAGAACCTCCATACTATTCTTCATGGTAGGTGCATCATTTTACAATCACACCAACAGTGCCTGTGAGTTTCAATTTCTCTGCATCCTCATCAACACTTGCTACTTTCTTTTTTTTTTTGAGACAAAGTCTTCCTCTTGCCCCCAGGCTGGAGTGCAATGGCACGATCTCGGCTCACTGCAACCTCCGCCTCCCGAGTTCCAGCAATTCTCCTGCCTCAGCCTCCTGAGTAGCTGGGATTACAGGCATCTGCCACCAGGCCCAACTAATTTTTTTGTATTTTTAGTAGAGACAGGGTTTCACCATGTTGGCCAGGCTGGTCTCAAACTCCTGAGCTCAAACGATCCACCCGCCTCGGCCTCCCAAAATGCTGGGAATACAGGCGTGAGCCATGGCGCCCGACCATTAATGGCAATCTTAATAGGTGTGGGGTGATAGCTCCTTGTGGTTTCTGATTTGCATTTCCCTGATAATGACTGACAATGAGCATCTTTACATATACTTGTTGGCCATTTGTATGTCTTCTTTAAAGGCATGTCTATTCAAGTCCTTTGCCCACTTTTTTGTTTTTCTGAGATGGAGTCTCACTCTGTCACCTAGGCTGGACTACAGTGGTGCGATCTTGGCTCACTGCAACCACCGCCCCCTGGGTTCAAGTGATTCTCCTGCCTCAGCCTCCTTAGTAGATGGGATTACAGGTGCCTGTCACCATGCCCAGCTAATTTTTGTATTTTTAGTAGAGATGGGGGTTTCACCATGTTGGCCAGGCTGGTCTCGAACTCCTATCCTCTGGTGATCCACCTGCCTCGGCCTCCCAAAATGCTGGGATTACAGGCATGAGCCACCACACCTGGCCTTGCCCACTTTTTAATTTAGCTATGTGTTTGACTGCTACTAGTTGTAGGAGTTCCTTATATAATTTAAATATAACTCCTTATCAAATATATGATACTTGCAATCCTATGTTCATTGCAACTACTCACAATATCCAAGAATTGGAAATAATCTAAATGTCCATCAGTGAATGAATGGATAAAGAAAACAGGCTATATACATAAAATGAAATACTATTCAGTCATAAAAACAGGGAAATCTTGTCATATGCTACAACATGGATGAAACTTGAGGACATTACTTGATGTGAAATTAGCCAGTCACAGGACAAATACTGCATGATTCCACTTACATGAAGTATCTAAAGTAGTCAAAGTCATTAAAGAAAAAGGTATCATGACGGTTGCCAGAAAATGGGGGAAGAGTAAATAAGGAGTTGCTGTTCAATGGGTATAAAGTTTCAGTCATGCAGGATAAAAATGTTCTAGAGCTTTACTGTACAACATTGTGCTTAGAGTTAACAATAATGTACTGCACACTTAAAAATTTGTTAAGGGTATAGATCCCATTTTATGTATTTTTTTCTATAATTTTAAAAAATGAAAAACAAAAATGAAGAATGAGAGAACTAAAAAGCAAAATCTATTCAAATGATTAGTTGACTATTTCTGAATCTAAATCTACTGCAGATGACAATTCAGGCCATTACTCAGGGCCAGTCTTTGTTCCACTGATAAGCAGTTGGGGCAGTGAGGCAGGAAAGCCACCTGCTGAGAACAGGGTCTAAAAGAGACCAGAGGTGGGATACATGCAATTAACCCTTAACCTCTTCCCGGCTCACCATGATGGAGCAGCTGATTTGCCTGGCTCTCCTCCTCTCTATATTTTCATCTCTATATGCCCTTAAAATGTAGCTGCCCCAAATTCACCTCCTTTTTTGGGGAAAGTAGGTATGTATGGATCTTCATATTCTGATCGTCTTGAAATGAGTTAGGAGAAGCAGTATTTTTCTTTTCTGGTTAACAGTCAAGGAGATCTCTGGTTTATGAGAGTAAACTTGGTTACATTTTCAGCTATAAATGACTGGCTCTCTTAGGAAATACAAATGGACAGTACTTGGAGGCTGGAGGAGTATGGAAAATCTGACGAGGAAGGTGTGGACCTGGCCAGTGGAAAGCATTTTGGTGGGTCTAATGATTTTGGGAAAATCTCTGCAAGGCTGGAACATTTTGCCACACGTAAGTGGTTATTTCCTTAGCCTCTTCTACATTCACTGAGAGCTCTGTGTAGCTGATTGGAGAGTGAGAGAACTGAAAAACAGTCCCAGTATGAGTCTGTCAAGAGAGATGCTTCAGTGTAAGTAAGTTTTTCAGATGTGTTGCATGTAACAGAGCCTGGTTTCAAACAAAATCTGCCTCATTCTGGTCCATTTAATTCTTGGAAACATAATTTTATATATCCAGAAAGTCCTTTGAGCCCTTCGAGGGAGCACTGTAAAGGCTTTCACCACCACCTTACCGCCGTTCTGTCAAAGCAGGAAATCAAGTCCTGCCAAATGCAAATGAGCTCAGACTCCAAAAGGCCAAGTGTCAAGATGCAGAATGCTGCCGGATTTAGAGATCATGCCCCACATAGATATTTGAGGGTCTAACAAACTATAGAAAGTCATCCTGAACATATTGAAAATGTGTGATTTCAGAAATCCTAGCACGTGCAAAACCATTTTTATATTAGTAAGTCAGAATACCTTTCCTTCCTTTTCATGGTGGCTTCAGAACCTCCAGGGAATTTATCAGAGCCTCCTGTTACTATGGTTGTCTGCTTTCTGTTTTGGAAGAGAAAGGCTTCTTTTTGATTCACATGTCATAGCTGTTCTAAAATAATGCTGACTCAGTGTCTGAAAGATAGCATTGGCTTTGCTGAAAGAAAATAGAAACCGGTCCTCTAAAACCTACTGCTGTCCCTCAAAGAGTTAACGGAGTCAGTTCCAAAGGAGTTAGGCAACGGCTGAAACAGGATAATAAATGTGACACTCTCAGATTATCAGTAGCAAATATTTGATCTTATCAAATAACAGAGGAAGTAGTTTAGTTACAAATAAACCAATCTCTCATAAAACAAGTTTTCACACAGGTTCATTTCATTGAGCTGGAGACAGTTAGAGGCCACTTGTAGGCAGAACTCCCACTCTGTACACTCTGTAACAGCCCCTCGTGATTAATGGACAGCCAGGGGGAGGCTGCATCCTGCGGCTCCAGGCTTCATATCAGCAGAACAGCCATAAACAGCATCTCAGGATTATTGCGAGGAAGTGACTCCTCCTCTGGGAACATAGCTGGGCTTGTGCTCCTTCTCCCTCACCACCCGCCTTCTTTCTGTCCCGCTCGCTCTTTTTCCCTGTAGAGCAGAGACCATCGTGTCCTAGAAACTATAGTAGATGTCACTGCTTGGCACTTGCTGTGCAAAGAGAGGACAAGTATGTGGGTGTGAGGGGGAGGTGGAATGCTACTCTTAAAGTAACAGGGACTGTGCTAGCCAGGGCCTCGATGGAGGCTTTTTTGTTCCAGTCTTTGAAACCACTTTGGTGAAGGCATCCAACTTGGAGTCCAGAAAAAAGTACAAACACTGTTTTAGAGTAGGAAAAAAAAAGTTAGAGCTCCTTCTTTCAAAGTAAAATTCTCATTGAGATTAAGAAGAAGTAAAAAAAAAAAAAATCCTGGTAAGATTAGAGTAAATTAGCAAGTAAAAAGAAAAGGAGAGAAAGCTGGCAAATTTTTGGTGTGTGAATATCATCTCTAATGAAATAGAAATATGAATACTTCTATGTTATAATTTCATGGAAAGTTTGTTTTACTCCCCCTAAGGATTGTAAAAATAAAGCATGCAGATTATATGAAATATGGAAATAGAAACATAAAGCTGAAAAAATTCAACCATGACACCACCATTTGAAGGCAACCATTAAGAACACTTTAGTGGATTTTCTTCCAGGCTTCTTCCAACATCTTTTAAAAAGAGATTGTTGAGACCTTAACCATATGTAGAATTTTCTTTCTTACTATTTTCAGCCAACATTTTAGCATAGTCATGACCCCATCATGTTATTCAGTCTTTTCTTATGTATAATCTTCAGGTTGTAAAATATTTATTTTGCAATTTTAACAAACATAGGGCAGTTTTTAGAATAGGTATGTATTCACGCTAAAAAGCAATGCTTGACTGCTTTATTTTTCAGATGTACTCATTTATTAAAAATTATTTGCTTCGAATAAAAAATTTGTTAAATTGTAATAAAAAATTAAAGGGAAAATTCTATGCTATTATTCTCATGGTTAACTCATTAACTTTTATGTTTAAATATTCTGGGAATTGTATTTTCTGCAGAATTAGAAAAGATTCAGTCCCAATCCCCTAGCCTTATAATGTACTTAACCCCACTAATGCTCTTTCAAATGCATAAATCCAGAAGTCAAGATGAATTTTAAAGACATGACATTCACATTTACCCATTGTTCCCCCTCGACCTACAGTACCTGAATTGAGATACATTTTGCTTATATGAGATATTGGGAACTACTTTTGGTGACCATTATCTTTTCTGATCCAGGAACTGGACACATTTTCTCCCAATCAGCCTCAAAGCCATTATACATTCTCCACAGTAATTTCACTGTGTCTCTCCAACAATGCTTCCCTCTTATTTAAAACCCAAAATAAAAGTTCTGCTGGAAGTGTTTGCATAGAAATATAGTTTCTATGCAAAAACAACAGGCAACCCTCTTATTTTTCTTATCCTGAATTCATTTAAAATATGAAACTTGCCTTTTGGAATAAGATGGGTCCTTTTCCTGTTTCCAGAACAATGCCCACGAAGGGTTAAAACACTGTGGTCACTCAGTCCCTGGGGGCGGGGCTGGTGGAGACTGCACTGCCTGCTCCCAGGGCGTGGGATTCAGCTTGTTTCCAAATAGATTTCCTCTAAATTGACTTTCATTTTGATCCCTATGAGACTTACGTTAAAGGGCAAAAAATAGTTTCCTCTTAGAATAAAATCTAGACTTAACTAGATTTTTTTTTCTTGCCCCCAAATAGATGTAATTTAGAATATTTTGGTAGTTTTGAAACCTACTTCTTTTTGCAGAATCCAAACCGAACGTTAATAGGCTTCCAAACATTTTGTTACTTGTACTCAGAACTTCTTGAGAAAGCAAATCCCAAATACTGAAGCATATTGTACTTGCAAAGCACTAAATTTTAGCCCCGTGTCTCTCTTAAGAGATTTTCTTTAGGTTAACGGTAGCTCTAAATTAAAAGAAAGTTTGCAAGATAAAGAAACCTACAATTTGCACTATCAATTTAAAGAAATATTATTTCTTTACCTTTTTCTTCAAAACATTTGTAGTAAGTAAAAAAACTTACTTATGTTGAGTAACATTATATGACGATGGAAGTAAATGAACATTTATTAAGCACGATAGTACCTGCCAGGTTTTATATACACTTAAATATTTAATTTAAACCTTACAACAATAATGGCTTGGGATAGGTATTATTATCCTAGTTTTATCAACCAATTAACTGGGTGTGGTGGCTCACATATATAATCCCAGCACTTTGGAAGGCCAAAGAGGGAGGATTGCTTGAGCCCAGAAGTTCAAGACCAGCCTGGGCAACATAGCGAGGCTCTATCTTTGTGCATGCATGTGCATGCTTGTGTGTGTGCATGCGTTTGCACGCACACACACACATAATTAGCTGGGCATGGTGGCACAAGCCTGTAGTCCCAGCTACTTGGGAGGCTGAGGTAGGGGGATTGCTTGAGCCAGAGAGGTCAAGGGTATAGTGAGTCGTGATTGCACCACTGCACTCCAGCCTGGGTGATAAAGCAAGACCCTGTCTCAAAAAATGAAATAAACAATCAACCTAGTATAATTAATAAAGTCTGGAAGACAAATTATCTCAAATTTGAAAGGGAATTTATTCACTTAACAAAGGTGTTTCTTGTAACATATGACATTGAAATACAAAACTAAAAAGTGAATTCCAATCATAGTGATAAATTCTAAAAAAGGCAAACCCATTTAAAGACGCAATATTGTTTTCCTCCCCTGAAAATTCAAAATTGATATTTTTTATCGTTTCTAAGAACCATGCAAATGTTCGATGGCAGAGTCAGTCTCGAAAGTCAAGGACTAAGTGTGGATATAGTTTCAATACCATAATCTGAGGTTCCCAGCAATCCTCTTATTTTTCTTATTCTGATGAACTAAGATGTTTAATATTTTTCTCGCTCACTCTCCAGTTTCCCTGATTATTGTTATAGCTCCTTGTTGGATAATTTGCCTCAATCCGATTTCTGCATGGTCAAACCACATTTCCATTATTGGAACAGAGGACACGAAAAGCCTTGAAAGGGAGGTAGTTGAAGTAAACATGGGGGCAAGGAAGAACGCCATGTGAATCATCACTGTAGCTACTGTTTACTGAGGGCCAGCTCTGTGGCCAAGTTGGTGCCAGGTGCCTTGCTTGTAATTCTCACAGCAATTCTTATGTCTAGTTGAGGAGTTTGAGGTTCAGGTATTTAAAAACTTGCTAAAGATAAAAGCTAGGAAGTGCTAGAATTGTTATTTAAACTGAAATCTGTCTGACTTCAAAACATTGACGTTTGTAGTTGTAGTGATTTTCTAATATTCTCATTTATCACAGTTCAGAGGCAGATATTGGCAAATAAAAAACAAAAAGGACCCAAATGCATCACATCTAAAAGGTTATCAAGAAACTAGTTTATTAGAGGAGTTTGATGTTCGTTTTTCTCTAGGTCTTGAGAAAGAACTGAAAGAATCATATTTCTTTCTTGGATTTATGAGATCTCAGTCTGCGACTAGACCAGCACTTTCTCAGATCCCTTCAGTTCTGTAATTCTTTTTTTTTTTTTTTTTTGAGACGGAGTCTCACCTGTCGCCCAGGCTGGAGTGCAATGGAGCTATCTCGGCTCACTGCAACTTCTGCCTCCTAGGCTCAAGCGATTCTCCTCCCTCAGTCTCCCGAGCAGCTGAGATTACAGGTGTGTGCCACCACACCCGGCTAATTTTTTTTTTTTTAATCTTTAGTACGTATGGGGCTTCACCATGTTGGCCAGGTTGGGCTTGAACTCCTGACCTCGTGATCCACCTGCCTCAGCTTCCTAAAGTGCTGGGATTACAAGCATGAGCCACCGCTCCCAGCCTTAGCTCTGTAATTCCATGTTCTGTGTTGACTACCTCTTCTAGCTGAATATTCCATAAAGTATAACTAGAACAATTACTTGAAGGAATAAAAGTGCGTGATGATAATTAACATACAGTCTTCTACACAACCCCATTTTCCCCTAAGATTTCCAATGACAGTTGTCTTAAAATTAGGGCATATAATAGAATAAGAATCAGCTGGCTATTAGAGAACTGCATACTCTCATTGGTTTGGTTCTATTGGTTCCCTCAACTTTCAATAGATCCTGAGATGGCCTGATTGCCCTAACATGGTGCCCTAAATGACTAGCCACACTCACTGGGGCTGTCAGGAGTCAGTAATGTTTCCGTATTGCTTTATTTCAGATTTGTATGTGTTATCCCTGTGCTTGATATAAATCATGTTTCAAATAAAACAGCTGTTATTAAATATCTTGGCCTTTTTCCTGAATTGATAATGAACAAGTATGCTTCCCTACAGTTATTGAGTTAGATCAACTCAACATCAGTATATATACATGTTTTTATTACAGGATAATATTTTTTATAAATATAAAACCAATCCATTAAAATTTTTCCTTTTATGTAAAATTTCCTTTGCATCATTTCAAGGCTGAGCCATAACCTAAAACTTCAGTGCAGGATTACACAGGGCTCTGATCCTACAGCAAAGCAACGGGCTTTAAAAGGTGGGCTTTGTGAAGAGTGGTGCTAGTATTTGTTAAGCTCCTTGATCATTCCCTACTTCATCTAATTCCTTCCTGCAGTACTCACACACACTAGTCTTAATATTTGAACAACAGTGACGGGAAGACCCCCCTCATGGAATCATCCAAATTTAGAGAGAAAATATCCACATTTATCATTAAGATTTAGCCTAGAAGCCTGCCTTTGGAAGGAAGAAAATAAAGCAAAGGGGAAAAGCCATCCTTTTCATTCCAGGGGATTTGGGGAAGAGGAGAAGAAACACTAGCGCTTGAAAATATATTTGCTTTCCCTAATGTTTTGGTTTCAGATAGCATCCCATCTTCCCTGCTGAAAAGGTACTGTTTGAGATAGCAGTTAATAGGCAAGAGCTGAGGTGGTCCCAATCCCTACTTCATGTGGTATAAAAATAACAATGTGAAGAAAGGATAAACACTCATGGAAAGCTAGCAGTGTGGACACCTAGCATTCATAGTGTTGCTTTTACATGCTTAGAGTTCAGATTCTGTGCGGGAGTCCTTCACACAGCCTTTAGCAGGTACTGATGGACTTTGGGGAGATTCTGGGGTTCACCCTCCACACCTCAGTCACTCAGAGGAAACGGATAAGGTTAGAGTATCAAGGCAAATTACTGAAACTGCTTTATTTACCTAGCTAATTACCAGAATGAGTCCCAGTCTGAGCCCTCAGCTGAATTTCTAAATCTATGGTCATTGCAATGGTGCCCACAGGCTAGATAGATTCAGTGGTTCTCCACCCTGGCTTTACGTTAAAACTGCCTGGTGAGCTCCAAAGACACTCAAGCTCAAGCCCAAACTAAGACCAATTAAACCAGCATCTCCAAGGGTTAGAGCCCTGGAGCCACTGCTTTTCAAAATCTCCCCAGGTGATCATAATGTACAGCTGAGGCTGAGAATGACTTTATTAGCTGCAGATTACTATTATTATCCAACAGTGGCAAGCAATTTTCACTCACCTTATGCCTGAGTCAGAGATTCTTAATTTTATTTATCACCCAGGGAGAAAATATTTTAAGCACAGAAGAATCTTTCATATACAGAAGGATACATTGTATATTTATTTCATGTTTAAAGGAGTTATATTATGACAAGAGCACAAATTGAGGCATTCTATTAAATCACAAAATAAACATTGTTCTTAGTTCACACACATGCTCTGCTCTTTGTAAGGTGGGAATTAAGCAGGGATCCTCAACCTTGGCACTACTGACATGCTAGTCTTTTTGAGGGAGGCTGCCCTGCACATTGTAAGATGTTTAGTATTTGTCTCGACTTCCTCTCATTTGCTGCCATTAGCATCCCCCTCCCAGTTGTGACAACCACATCCAGACAATAGAACAACATCATAGTGATCCAGACATTTGCTTAAACCAGGAAGAGGGGAGGAAAAGGCAAAAGTAGGCAAACACTAATCCTGGAGCTTAATCCATTACAGTCAAAACTGCTGTCAAGATAAGTAAAATTTCCAGTCTAGCCATCCTTGACAGCTACTTCCTCCTGAGAATCTTTTCTCTTTCATTGTGACTGTCACTGGTTTTAAGGAATGCAACTGTCTGTAACCCCAGAAAGTAGGTGTCAAATTGAGGGCTGTTTAGAACTCCAGGTATGGTCTGGAAAGAAGACATTAAGATGTGAATTAACAAGAGCTTTGTGTTTTTGTAATTTCTCTTTTTCTCTCTCTTTTTTTCCTCACTCTCTTTTTAGATGTCAAGCATGTACATAATTAAAACCAATCAGGCTCTAGTTAATTCTGTGACACTACAAAACATATTTTATCATTAGTGATTATTCCAGGTAAGAAATTATGCTGACAAAGCTCAATTTATGAGAAATGCATCAGAATCATTAAAAGAATCTTGTGATACAAATTTCTGTAAATATATTGTATAGGAAGACAATCTCTTTTTAATATAGGTGAGTTATATCTTTGGATATTAAAATTCGAAATTGAGGCCAGGTGCAGTGGCTTATGCCTGTAATCCCAGCACTTTGGGAGGCTGAAGCAGGTGAACCATGAGGTCAGGAGTTTGAGACCAGCCTGACCAACATGGTGAAACCCCATCTCTACTAAAAATACGAAAATTAGCCAGGCATGGTGGCGGACACCTGTAATCCCACTACTTGGGAGGCTGAGGCAGGAGAATCGTTTGAACCCAGGAGGCAGAGGTTGCAGTGAGCCGAGATAGTACCACTGCACTCCAGCCTGGGTGACAGAGAGAGACTCGGCCATAAATAAATAAATAAATAAATAAAATAAAATAAAATTCCAAATTGAAAATATAATGGACCAGTCTTCAAAAAAATATTTTCTAGAATAGCAACAGTGTACTATCAGTACTATCATTGAAAACTGGAAACATAGATAGGTTAGGAAACACTTTAAGAGGCCAACTAGTCCAAATCCAATTCAGGGAAGATTGAAATACATCTGCAGTTGGATGATCCATGATTCTTATTGTTAGTTTCAAAATTACTCTTTGGTTTTAGGGGTTTATAGGATGCCCCCCACCAAATAAAAATCTTACATAAGCCTTGTGCCTATGTGAAAAGAAGTAACCATTAGTGTATAATTTGATTTTGAATATCCCAAAGCTTTAGGGATTAAACTGGCAAACAAACAACAAACAAACAAAACCTCCCCTTTTCCAGTAGACTGGAAATTTGTATCACAAGATTCTTTTAATGATTCTGATGCATTTCTCATAAATTGAGCTTTGCCAGCTTAATTTCTTACCTGGAATAATCACTAATGATAAAATATGTTTTGTAGTATCACAGAATTAACTAGAGCCTGGTTGGTTTTAATTACGTACATTCTTGACATCTAAAAAGAGATTTCTCCAGGTTTTTTGTAAGATTCCCAATAGGGAAGCCCAACAGAGAACTGTCCTACTGTGACAAAAAATTTTTAAATTTACTTCCTGGGTTTTGAACCTAGCTTTCTTCTTTGGTCTTTGATTTATATCAGGACACACATGCATTTTCACTCTATGCTCATCTCCTTCCAGTTCCGTAAGGAAAATGGATATCTATCCAGGCCCTTGACTTTGAACAATGAGACTCACAAGTTGGTTCACTTGGCATTTACATGGTGTTAGGCAAATAATAGCCTATGTTTGTGTGTGTGTTTGTGTGTGGCGGGGGGCGTTTGAGTGGAGGTCGGGTAGGGGATTGTTCGGTCTCATAGTGACTCTGAGTTTAGGCTAGTGTGTCCTTGTAAATATGTTTTGTTACTTTTTAAATTTAATTATGTTAACATTTATACATATTTGAAAGTTAATGTTTTTCATGGTTAAACATTTCTTAGTTTACAGATTCGTTACTTGTTGCTATTGAAAAGCATTGTGTGTTTCTTTGTAACATTAGCCTAGAGCCTCCCCACAAAGCCATAAAATTACTGAGTACAATAAAATAATATCTAAACAAAGAAATCCATTTTAATATAATTTTATCATTTCTCTAAAATTATTCATATTTAATCTTAGGCTACTTGGATCTGATTTTTGTGCCATTTATTATTTTCTTTTTGAATGGAAAACTTCAAATGTAAAATGAGTAAAAAAGTAACTTGAGTTTTCCACCTACAAAGTTTGCCAAACTCTCAGTTAAAAGCATCGAGTCTCATATGGGAGGAAAGAATTCTAAATGCCAAGCATTCAAAGCTAATTGACTAATAAGAGATACCTTGGTAAGACCCTCGACATTCCAGGACTATGTCTGGAAATCAGTTACCAAATTTCCAAATACTGAAATGTTTGGGCACAAATCTTCCTGGATTGCTACTGAATCACATTTTCATTCACAGTAACGTGTTTTCTATGTCTATCCTTACATCACAAAAGTAGCTTCCTTTCCAACATTTTCCAACTTTTGTCTCTGAGTTGGTGGTCATTACACAAAGAAAAAATGTATTAGAGTCCTGAGAACTGAGAGATCAAAGAGTTGATTTGAGGTAGAAATAGGGGTCGTGCCCCTTCCTTATGCTGGGTGCTAGCACTGCCACATGACATCATTCAGTTGGGCCTTAGCAAAGTCTTAGTCACTGCAGAGGGTGAACTATCAGTATTGCTTGCGAGTAGTGAAATTCACTACTGTTAACTCTGTGGATGTAGAGGGACTTAAAAAAAATTGGATGAGTTTTCCCTCTCCTTCCTCCTCTTTTTTTCTTCCTCTCTTCTTACCCTTCTGGGTAAAAGCAGCTGGATAGCGGTTGAGAACTTGGACTTTGGAGCCAGGCTGTCTGGCTCTTGTTCTACCACTTACCAGCTAGCCGCTTAGTCTTGGGCAAGGTATTTAACTTCTCTGTAACTGAGTTTGTCCATCTGTGAAACCTATCCCTTATAGTGTTGCTGTTAGAATTAAATGAATTAATATATATATAACTTTTCTAGCACTGCCTAATACCTAGTATTCACTAAAAAAACAAAAACAAAAACAAAAAACAAGGAAACGAAAAGGAGCTCCTATTGTATATCAAGTGCTTAGCTAGGCACTAAAAGGGAATCTCTGACATGTGGGATATGCTATGTACATGACCAACACAGCCCCCACTTTATGTCACTCAAGTGCAGCCCCGATAGAGATTGACTGGTACTTCTGATTCCCAGCCTTATTTTTCCCAGGAGAGAAGGTATGATTGGCCCCAACTTGTGCTAGATATTAACTGCAAACTGAGCCTCTGTGGCCATTAGACCAAAGTTTTTTTTTTGGTCTTTTTTTGTTTTTGAGACAGAGTCTTGCTCTGTTGCCCAGGCTGGAGTGCAGTGGTGTGATCTCAGCTCACTCCAACATCTGCCTCCTGGATTCAAGCGATTCTCCTGCCTCAGCCTCCCAAGTAGCTGGGACTACAGGTGTGCACCATCACACCGAGCTAATTTTTGTATTTTTAGTAGAGACGGGGTTTCTATGTTGGCCAGGCTGGTCTTGAACTTGTGACCTCAGGTGATCCACCTGCCTCGGCCTCCCAAAGTGCAGGGATTACAGGCGTGAGCCACTGCTCCTGGCCTAAACCGAGGTTCTTTAGTGTAGCAGTCCCCAACCTTTTTGGTCTCAGGGACCAGTTTCGTGGAAGACAATTTTTTTTAAAATTTTATTTATCCGAAAATAAAAGCCTGCATGTGTCTATCATGTTGGGAAAGATGTCCATTCTTCAGGTCATTAACTTCCCTTGAATAGAATAAAATCTCAGTTAAGCAACAAATAAGACAAATCTCATTAATTTAGGTAGACAGTTGTGCTAAAAGAGACCAAATGAGTAAATTTTAAATTCCTATAAAAGCTCTTTCTTCTTTGGAAATTTTTTGTTTCCTTCAAACCATAATTGATAGTGTCTCCTTGGAAACAATCCTAAGAGATGAGTTGGATTCCTGGGAACCATGCAGTTTAAACTTAAATTATAGTAATATGTTGCCTGTTCCTATTAATGTCAGCCAGTCTTGCTAGTAAAGAACACTTGAGGCCGGGCTCAGTGACTTATGCCTGTAATCCCAACGCTTTGGGAGGCCAAGGTGGGAAGATTTTGACAATATAGAGACCCTGTATCTACAAAAATAAATAAATAAAAAATAAAATATTAGCTGGGGGTGGTGGCACGTGACTATAGTCCCAGCTACTCAGGAGGCTGAGTTGGGAGGATTGCTTAAGCCCAGGAGTTTGAAGCTGCAGTGAGCCATGATCGCACCACTGCACTCCAGTTTGGGCAACAGAGTGACACACTGATGAAAAACAAAAAACAAAAAACAAAAACAAACAAAAAAAACCAAATACCTTTCTACTTTTCTACCATGTGGTAGCTGAATCTGATGGAAAGACATTCTAAGAAATGTGAGCTGAGATGTAAGTTTCTTAGTGTAAGGTAATATGTTGACATTTTTATTTTATGTATTGGTTTCTTGAGCTAGGTTAATGTAGCTCCACACCCAAAAGAGACAGTCAGCTTACTAAGCTTGCAAAGGTTTTGTGGGAAATTCTTTAAGCTCGCTTCACGAGCTCATGTCTCCCTCATGATACCCCAACAATACTGTTGGCAAATGCTTAAAACAGGGTCAATAGTAATGCAGTTCCACTACCCTCTTTTATTCACAATACGCAAGCTACTGTCCCAAGGGTCTTGAAAATGAGAAAGTGAAATAGACTTGGCTCCCAAAGGATTCACAATTCAGTTAGGGAAATTTAAATTGACTTCACTACTCACCACAATGTAGCATGTTATATTGTAGATACAGCAGCCATTTGGGAACACAGGAGGAAATAAACTTTTGGAAGACAGAGGTGTGCAGGTACAGCAAACTGACCACTGGGTGTCCAAGGCTCTGTCTCATCACAGTGGTCGCACCAGCAGGGGAACAGCGGAGGTGATTTTCCACCAAAGCCTGTTAGTGACTTTGGGATGCACAAATGGGAGGAAGGGGGCAAAATATTCAGCTACCATCTCCCTGGAAGTCTGTATTAATCCTGCTGATAATAAAAGGTTTACTTAATTTTACTTATTATTTTTTACTACCTAGACACCAATATGTTTGGAAATAAAGAGACTTGGCTTCCTGGTCCTGCTCTAAGATGGGAGCTTAAACCTATGGAATGTGACACCACTTTGGGCAAAAACAGAATTCTTAGCAAAGAAATCATTGATGTTAAGGTAAATTTATTAAATGTGAGTGAGTTCATCTACTTCTCAGATAATTAAGACATTACTTATGGTGAACAAGCTTATTTATTAGCATGTGTTTCCTTTATGATATTGCATTATGAATATATTATAATTGAACATGCATGGCTGAACTGTTTTTGGCACAATTGCTAGAAATTAGTGTTTAAATGCTCATATATTTTTTTTTTGGTTTGTTTGTTTTTTAATTGACAAAGCATATGTTTTCTGTGGAGCATATTTTATTTTCTGTTGGGATTTAGATATCAAATCTTCATTGCACTAAGACTAATTTTATTTTTTGGCAAGTGCCTACAACTTACAGATTTACTCATCACTATGATTTGAATTAGAAACTCAGAAAATAGAGGTGATACCTTTACAGAGTCATGGTAATAGAATAACAGCTGCCTAAACTTGGCCTGAATACTGGATGATCATTAATTATTACTTAAAATATAAATACTTGGTGGTAAGACTGTAGTGTATCTATTCAGAAACTAAATAAAGATAGACCCAAAGTTACAACTCCTTCAAGTTACCATGCCTGCCCTGTCAATGAGTCAGACATTATGTGAAGAGAGAAACTAAAACCTCCTTATTCTGAACTAATTTCTCAGTCTGTTCACCAAAAGAGATTTTGCTCTCGACTACTGACCTTCAGGCTTTATTCTTCCATTTCCTTCCTTACTTTGTCATGCAATCTCAAAGCTCATTTCTCCAACTATTATCTTGGTTCCTTTGATAATAATTCTACTGCTTCTTTTCTACTCAACATTGCTTTAGGAAACATCTCAAATTGCTACAATACAAATAAATTACTAACCAATAAACATGACTTCAATATTTTTAAGTTATGTTAAGAGCTAGGCAGCTTCCTATCATACTAGGTTTTAAGGTTTCCAGTTTCTGATTCAATTTAGAACAGTAAATTTGAAAACACAGAGCTTATACATTAATAACTGTATTAGTCTGTTCTCGCATTGTTATAAGGAACTACCTGAGACTGGGTAATTTATAAAGAAAAGAGGTTTAATTAGCTCATGGTTCTGCAGGCTGTACAGGAAGCATGGCTGGAGGGGCCTCAGAAAATTACAATCATGATGGAAGGCAAAAAAGAAGGCGGCACCTCTTACATGGCTGGCGCAGGAGGAAGAGAGAGCAGGCAGAGGTGCTACACACTTTTAAACAACCAGATCTTGGGAGGGTTCACTCACTTTCACGGGAACAGCAATGGGGAGATCTGCCCCTGTGATCCAATCACTTCCCAGCAGGCCCCTCCTCCAACACTGGGGTTTACAATTTGACATGCGATTTGGATGGGGACACAAATCCAAACCATGTTAATAACCCCAAATACATCATTTCTATGTTGAGAACACTGCGCCTCTAAAGTTGAAAGCAATATTAAAAAATTAATTTTTAAAAATGCTTTTATTGGATTTTCAGCTACATACAAATAGGACTTAAAATGCATGCAATTCCACTTTAAAAACCATAAAAAATAAAGTCCACATGATTTCTTAATCACTTTCTACTTTTGCCTGTAGTTATAATAGAGTATAGAATAGTTGAAAATAAGTGAGGATGATAATGATAATAATGATGATTTAATATCATGTAGAAATATAAAACCTAATGTGCTAGTTGTGGACATTTGACACCCTGACTTTGACCAACACATTTTGATGGTGTCAAAGGATGTTTTTGAATACCCCACAAAGAACAATCAGCCAAATGTCTATGAATGCTAAACACCTATGAGTAGCTATTCCTCTTCTGAACTCCTATAAACTTCATTTGTGTCTTTATTATGGTACTTATCACTTTATTCCTTGGGATATAGTTACTTGTGCAACTTAGTTCCCCTAACATAGGGGAACTTTAGGGCATGATATGTATCTGATTCTTCTTGGAATGCCTCCATAACACCTATCCCAGAAGTCAACAAATAAGAATGACAGATAGTTTTAAACTTATATGAGCATTCCAGAATTAATATTGACAAATTCATATTGGCATGTAACAGATTTTGGAAACAAAGTTCTATGCACGTGGGTGTCAAAAAGAATAATGCACATTTCTGAATGAAGGATAGCAGATGACTTCAAAGCCACTAGCAGACTGTTTACTTTATCTGGGATCAAGGACCCTGCATGGATAAAAGGCAAAGGAAGTCATCCACCTTGAAAAAAAATATTTTCTTAAAATAGAGGTTTGGTATCTAAAGCTCCTTTAATTCATAGGTTCAGCTCTATGAAATCATTCTCTTTGATGTTTAATCATCCCAAATCCTATAATAATAATTTGGGGAAAAATAGGTTGCCATGGAAAACAGTGTGGGGTAGGGTTATGAGTCTAGCATTAGGAAGATTTGACCTGGTTATAAAATTCATTCATGAAAGCACTGTGGTTAGAATTCATGGGAAACCACCCAGCTTTATGCTTGCTAAAAGGAAGTAATAGGATATAGAGAGAGATGCCTTCAAACAAAGCTGTTATAAATCTGCAACAGACAATTGTAACGCCTAAATTACTTAAACGAAAGCAGATGCTTTTACGTATATTAAATTTGAGTTTTTTGTTTGTTTATATGTTTATTTTAACAAAAGAAAGCAGAGACATTGGAGGAAAGTATACAAATTGTTCTAGATATGCTTTGCTTAAGAAAAAAAAAAATTGTAACATGGGTGAAGAGTAGAAATACTCCACTGCCAATGAATGTAATTCCTCCGCATTCTCTCATTTCACTCACCTTGTCTCTCGTTTGGCCTCAGATTTTGCAGCTCTAGCAGGGATTGTGGTTTATATGAAAAAGTAGATTTTTTCCTTTTAAATGGACATATATATCTTCAGATGTAAAACTTCAGAATTTCAAAATATGATAAAATTTTGTCACTTTATAGGTTTTGATTTAATTTATTTTAAAAGTTTCACTATTCTTTTGATAGTAGCTGACAGATCCAATCCTGTTCCCATATGCTTTCTGCTATTTTAAAAGAAACAGTACACAATTGCCTCAGAGAGGCACCATGTGTTTCCAAAGTGTGAATCTGAAAACCATCCATCTGGGCATGTTGGCATCTTCCTGAATCGTATGTGATTGAAAGAAATATTTTCAACATTTTTCAAGTCTTTGACTACATGAGAAAGAGAATAAGGTAAAGGAGATCTTTTTTCATTTCCAGTTATTGAGAATCAAGTATGATCCTTAGATTGGAATACCTTGCCCACCCTTCTGCCTGGATAGCCCCAATCATTCATCAAGACTCAGGTCACCAGTGGCATTCTTAGTGAATTACTCTGTCACCCTAGCTCTTTATTTGTCGCATAACTAACTCTATGCATACTCATATGAAAATGCTTATTTACTTTGATTAAAATTATTTCTTCAACTGTTGCTTCCCCTATAATCTATGAGCTCCTAAAATGAAAAGCAGATGGTCTTTAATGCAATTCAATTCAACAAATATTATTACAATGCTCCAGATACTAATCTAGAAGCTGCAGAGACAATTCTGAATAAGAAGAGAGCATTTTTGCCCTCCAGAATTTACAATCTAGCTGGGCAGAGAGAAATTGAACAAGTAATTAGACTTAAAGATGATTCTTGGTGAGGAGTTAGGATAACTGCATCTGAAACCTCACATAGACAAAAATAAAGTTGAAAGTTCAAACTTACTTTAATATTGTTTTTATTAATAGTACTTTTTGTGTTGTATGACATAGATATTCAGAGTGATTTTCTAGATTGTTGAGATCATCATACATATTTCTTGTGAAGCTAAGTAATAGTCACTAAATTATGGGCCAGGCATATGGCTAGGTTTATGTATGTATATGTACACACAAGTTATATTATATATAACTTATAGTGAATTTACAAGCCCTCTATGACCAAGTTACTTTATTTTTTGAAACTTAAATTAATCCTAAAAGTAAAGGTTTTTTTTTTCAAATCATTTAAAAAGCAGATAAATTATATTGCATCATTATAGCCTCAAACACATGGTATCAAAATATGGCCACATGTTAATCAATAAAACGAATAACTTTGTGGTAAACTAAGAGACTGAGAAATCTTGCCACTAAACATTAAAGGCAGAGTGACTTCCATGTTTTGATCGTGTTAGAGTTGTCTGAGTCATTTTAGGCTGGCCTAACAGAATACCAATGGACTGGGTAGCTTAAACAGCAGAAGTGTATTTCTTGCAGTTCTGAAGACTAGGAAGTCCAAGATGAAGGTGCTGGCAGATCTGGTGTCTGGTGAGGGCCCTTTTCCCTCTGGTGAGGGTTTGTAGATGACTGCCTTCTCGTTGGATTCTCACATGGTGGACAGCAGAGAGAGAAGAAGCAAGCTCTCTTGTGTCTTTTATAAAGATGTTAAGCCCATTCATAGAGGCTCCACCCTTTTGACCTAATAATCTCCCAAAGGTGCAACCTCCTAATACTGATATTTTGGAAGTTAATATATCAACATATGAGTTTTGGAGAGACATAAACATTCAGTCCATGGCAGGGTGCATAACTGGTTCCATTGTTCAAAGAAAAATTCAGTAAAAATAAAAAATAATAATTCCATCAGATCTTGGTTAAGTTGATTGTCACAGAATTTGGTTCATTAATAAAATAACCTGTTTCTACCCTAAATGGGGATACTTTGATTAAGGTTTCCACTTACTAGTGACCAAATTCCTCAAGAGAAAGCACTGTCTCTACTTTTTTCAAACCTCATTCATAGTATTTGGGTTAGGATTCTACACAATATGAGAGCTTTGTCAAAGTTGAGTAAATCAACTTGGACCTCTTTTCTTCTTATTAAAATGCAACAAATTTAATTAATAAACACCCTTTTATTGATACAGGTATCCCCTGCTATCTGAATTCTCTCTTTTAATGAAAATTATTTTCCTATCCAAACTCTAGAACTGAATTGAAGCTCTACTCTTCAGACCAAAAAAAGGTTGCAGAATATAAATTTAGGCACTTTTTGGAGGGCTGGAGGTCTGTACACTGTTGTTAGGAAGAAACTGTCTACTCTCCAGCAGAGATGAGAAAAAAAGGGGAATTGTTACAAAATTAATATGAGACCAGATTAAAAGATGTATTGAAAGGAAAAGAGAGATTAGAATACCAGCCAGGAGGCAATAATATTGAAAAAGTGAAGTTTTCATATCTTGTCAAAAGAAAATGTTTACTTTTTCAAAGTTTTTTTAATGTTGTATATTATGAATACATTTGAAATCCAAATTATTGTTCAGCCATGTTGAATATATTTGCTACTCTGACCAGTTTTTAGAATGCTCTGATGAAACTTGTGTGATCTCCAAATTTGTATAGTGAAGAGAAAACCCTGAAAATCTTTCACTTTGTCATGCCTGCGCTGAGGGCAGATGACTCACTGTATGAATTCAAGTTAAATCACTTAACCTTTTTCTCTTATTCAACCCATCTGGGAAGCTGAATACAAGCACTTCACTATGAAACAGATGGTGAGCCTAAGCTACATTTTCCCAGATTAAAAAAAGAAGAATGTGTTATAAGGACTAAAAGAACCAAATGTGGAAAAAACGCAGGGATTACACGGAAAAGAGCTATAAGCTGGATCAGACATTTTCACCTGTAAAAAATAATGTAATGCTTAAAAAATAAGTCCTAGGAGATGATATGGGGACAAAGTCAGTAAAACCTTTTCATAAAGCACCATATGTGTAATGTGGTCATGAATGTTGGTATGTACAGTGAGTAAAATGCTATTTGTTTGCTGGTTCATTTACCTGTATGTCTCAGAAAACAAATTTGGTTACTTTAGGATACTTTTAGGTTATCTATTTGATAACTGTAAAGCTAAATGCTAATAAAAACATCTCGAGAAAATTTATGAGACCCATCTAAATTATAGCTCCAGTGAAATTTAACACTAGTTGGAAAACAAAAACTTTCCAATATGTTCTAGGATAATTGTTTTCTAATCTTTTATATGCATATAAATCACTTGGAAGTAAGGCAAGTTATTGCCCCTTGGTAACTTTGGATTTTAACTTTATTATGCATAAAATTATATTAAATTCAAATGTATTTACATGTGGATATTTATATCTGTCACATTTTATGGAAGAAGAAATATCTGTTGCAGCTATTTTGATATTTTGATGAATAAAGTAGAACATATTAAAAAGTATCTGCATCTTCTTATTTCCTGACCAGTTGGGATAAAGTTGGGGAAAATTAGCTTACTATTTAAAAGACATACTTTGCAGATGAGGCTGGATACAAAATCTAAGAAATTCACATTATCAATTTCCAGATGCCACAGTGTAAAAATCCAGACTGTCCCTATTGAAATAACAATAATATTCTTCATAGAAAAATCCTAAAATTTGTATGTCACCACAAAAGTCTCCAAATAGCCAAAGCAATCCTGAGCAATAAGAACTGGCCGGAGGCATCACATTACCAGACTTCAAAATATGCCACAACACCATAGTAGCCAAAACAGAAACATAGACAAATGGAACAGAATAGATAACCCAGAAATTAATCCATGTATCTACAGTTAACTGATTTTTGACAAAGATGCCAAGAATGCTCATTGTGGAAAGGACAGACTGTTCAATAAATGGTGCTGAGAAAACTGGATATCAATATAGAGAGGAAGGCAATAAGACCCCTACCTCTCACCCTATACAAAAATAAACTCAAAATAGATGAGAGACTTAAATGTAAGACCCCAAATTATAAAACTACTGGAAGAAAACAGGAGAAATTTATACCACATTGGTCTGGGAAAAGGTTTTGTGAATGCAACCTCAAAATCACAAGCAATAAAAGTGAAAATAAACAAATGGGATTATAGCAGACTAAAGAACTTCTACACAGCAAAAGAAACAATCAACAGCGTGAAAAAGCAGCATGCAGAATGGGAGAAAATATTTGCAAACTATTCATCCAACAGGGAATTAATACCCAGAATATACAAGGATCTCAAACATCTCAACAGCAAAAAAGCAAAAGATCCGATTTAAAAATGAGCAAATGATCTGAACAGACATTTCTCCAAGGAAGACATACAGATGGTCAATAAATATATTTTTTAAATGTGCCAACATCACTAATTATATGGGAAATACTAACAAAAACCATAATGAGGTATCATCTCACCCAGTTAGGATGATTATTATCAAAAGCGGTTTTTTAAACTTTAAAAAATAATTTTAAAAACCAAAAAAGTTAAGGCTTTAAAGGAATAACAATCAAACCCTATAAAGTTACAAATGGAGTACATTTCTTTTTTAAAAAAATTTCAATTTAATTTTATCTTATGTTACTTTGAGTTCCAGGGTACATGTGCAGGATGTGCAGGTCTGTTACATAGGTAAACATTTGCCATGGTGGTTTGCTGCACCTATCTACACTTCACCTAAGTATTAGGCCCACCTTGTCATATGCAACATTTCTTAATGTCTAGGGCAATCAATGAACAATTGTTGAATCATAAAAGATGTTAACAGTCTAGTCAGAACTAGATTTCTTTATGAGTTGGCCATAAAAACACATTCAAGAAAATGAATGTTTTCCCATTTTTAGACTAGAGCATTTCTGACAGCTCTCTTCCCCACAACAATTTAAATAATATGTAAATCATTTATGTACCAATTATGTTTTCAGTCAATCTGATCCAAGGTTTTCAAATATAGTCCCTTGAGATAGTTTTAAAAAGAATTCTACAGACAAATAAGTTCTGGAGAAGTTCTCAGTACCCAGTAACTTCTTGGAGTTTCATATTGTACATTCATTCATTCATCTAATATTGACTTTGAGAGGATCTGCGGTAAAGAAGCTATTTACCTTTATTGGTCATGAAGCCCTTTCGGGGCTTATTCATATTCTATGAAACTACCACTTCTTAAAACAGACATTGGAAAATTTTGGTGCAATCTTTTTCAAGTGGAAAGATTTCTGTAGGCTGTAATATTTAAGTAGCTCAAGTGCTCAATAATTAATCTTGTATTTAGAGAAGAAGGACAGCTACAGAGATATTGATTAAAAGTGCTAGAATGTTAAAAAATGCTTAACATTTGACTTTTAGTTCATTAATCTAGTTAAATGTTCCTTAGCAGAAAAAATTAGTAGCATTTGACTGCATTTTGTGATAGTACCCAATGTGCTATTTTTGGTTTTGTTTTTAAATAAAACAATATTCAGCTTTCAGAACAATGTGACAACCCAGGTCTCACCTTTCTTTAGTCTAAGCATGCTAAACTCATGGGAAAGTCTTCCAAGGGCTTCTTATCACTTGATCATTGAGAATCAGGCCATCAAGGCAAATAGCAAACCAGAACCTCTTTTCTGCTCTCCTCCTGAAATTGGCCACAAGGATTCCAAAGGGAATCTATTACAAATAAACAGGCCTTTGTGGTTTTTGATGGTCTTGCATTTTCATGATTTTGTGTCATTTTTACTTACAAATATAGAGGACTAAGATCCAACCTCCTGTCCTTTTACTTCTTAACTAAGGCAATATATTCATACACAATACAGGAAATTGTGTTCACTTCAGAGTGTTCATTCAACTATCTATATAGAGTTTTCAAAATACAATTAAAAGTTCATCTGTTTTTCATTACACACCTATTAGAATGGTTAAAATAATAATACAAATAAAATACTGGCTGTGCCAGAGCTGGCAAGCATGTGGAGAAATGGATTTCCTATGAATTACTCTTGTGAATGTACAGTACAGCCACTCTAGGAGTTTGGATGCTACTTATAAAATTTAACATATATTTACCATATGATCCAATGACCACACTCCTGGACTTTTATTCTACAGACATGAAAATTTATGTTCATGCAAAAACTTGTAGATGATGTTCACAGTAGTTTTAATTGTCATAGCCCAAAACTAGAACAAGCAAACCCAACCCAAATGTCCTGCAATGAGTGAAAGTAATCCATAGCATGGAACATTATGGCAGCAATAAAAAGGAACAAACTATTGATATTTGCAGCAATATGAATGAATTTCAAGGTGATTTCATTGAATGTAAATAGAGCCAACATAAAAATGTTACATACTGCATGATTTCCTTTATATAACATACTTAAAATGATGGAACTACAGGAATGGCGAACAAATCAGTGGTTAAAAGCATTGGTGAAGGGGGAGGTGAAACTGTAAAGAGTACAGAATAGTTCCATGTCTCAATTGTGATAGTGCTCATATGAATCTATATATGAAATAAAATTTCACAGAACTACACTCACATGTATACAAAAAAAGGGGAAGGGTATATACAAAACCCTCTAAAATCAACATAAGATCTATAGTCCAGTTAATTGTATTATGCCAATGTCAATTTTGTGTGTGTGTGTGTGTGTGTGTGTGTGTGTGTGTGTGTGTGTGTGTGTGTGTGTTTTTGAGACGGAGTCTCACTTTGTTGCCCAGGATGGAGTGCAGTGGCGCGATCGTGGCTCACTGCAACTTCTGCCTCCCGGGTTGGAACAATTCTCCTGCCTCAGCCTCCCGTGTAGCTGGGATTACAGGTGTGTGCCACCACGCCCGGCTAATTTTTGTATTTTTAGTAGAGATGGGGTTTCACCATGTTGGCCATGCTGGTCTTGAACTCCTGACCTCAGGTGATCCACCCACCTCGGCTTCCCAGAGTGCTGGGATTACAGGCGTGCGCCACCAACCCCGGCTAATTTTGTGGTTTTGATAATGCATTATAGTTACATAAAATGTTCCCATGAGGGGAAGCTAACAAATGGGTATAGGAATCTTTCTGTACTATTTTTGTAATTTCCTGGGAGTTTATAATTATTTCAACATAAACATTTTTTAAAAAACTTTCAAAATTTTATTTGTTTTTAGGAAGGCAGGTGTCTTGAGCCATTTATGTAAATCCAGCTATGTAAAATAAGTTATCTGACCAATCTGAAGTTCTGTCCTTGCCTAAGAACTCCTGATCATAAAGTGTCTTATCATGAAACTCAGAAGTAAGTAAGAAGTCTTGACGTTTTTGGTTATATGAAGCTAGCTGAGGTCTCATAAAGAACAAATGAAGATAATTTTCAACTTTAGAAAGAAAATGTTATCTAAACTGACTTTCTAAGAACAATAGGAGTTAAGACATAAGGTAAGGTTTTAACTGCAGTTTCATGGGCAACACTTTTTAAGCTATGAGAAAATTACTTAGCAATGTTTCCTTTGGTATGAATTCATAAGAGAAATGCAGAGTAGAAGGATAATCAAAAGATGAAGAGAATGATCTGGTTAAGTGCTTACCTGATTCAAAACCAGTGTAAAATGTGTGATTCTAGGTGTGGCACGTGGTGGGATTATCTGTGAAAAATCTTAAATTTCTTACTGGTGACTTCAAGGTCTAAAACTACAGTGTTGATAAAAAACAAAAATGGGAGGCTATATCTAGGATATGGCATGAAACTGAACAGACTCCTGTAGTGACTTCTAGAAAAATATCTATTTATTTACAAAATTTACCCTGGTGACATTTTCCTTATGTAGAGCTGTAGATGCCTGGTATAGTAGCAAAAAAAAAAAAAAAATAAACAAATTGCTTAAAATAATTTTTTCATGATCCAATCATGACTAGATAGGCAGTTATCTTTCTCACTTTGCATTGTCTTACCCACTATGATCTATACAATGTCTCTGCTTTCTTTCAGGCACTTGTTTCCAACAATTTGTTTAAAACCTTCACCAGAATGTCTTAGAGGCCTTATATACCATACCTCAATTTTAGCATGTCATAATCGAGTTTAGGATTTGCTCTTGCAAATCCGTTTCTCTTTCACAGGTCTCAGTCTTGGGTAATGGTATAAACATCCACTCAATCCCTAAACTGACCTAGCTCCTTCATCTAGCTCTGCATCTCATCACCAAATGCTCTCTACTTGCTCTCACAAACATTTCCCAACTCAGATGCTATTGGTCACTGTAATTGCTATCTCCATCTGAGCATGTCATCCCTCTTGGGTTAAAGCCTCCATTGGCTCCTTGTATTGTTGTATTAATTTTCTATAGCTGCCATAACAAATTACCTCAAATTCAGTAGGTTAAAACTACACTGAGCTAAAATCAAGGTGTTAGCCAGGCTACATTCCTTCCTGGAGAATCTATGGGAGAATACATTTCTTGCTCATTCAGGTTGTTGGCAGAATTCAGTTCCCTGTGGTGGTAGGGCCAAGGTCCTCATTTCCTTACTGACTATTGGTCAAGGGACTGTTCTCTGCATCCAGAGGCTGCCCAATTCCTTAGTTTGTGGCTCCCTTACTCCATCTTCCAAGCCAGCAATGGTTGATTGAATCTTTCCCATGCTGCATCTCTCTGATCATTCGTTTATTGTTGCATCTCTGTTTGACTTAACCAGGAAAGACTCTCAGCTTTTAAAGATTCCTATGAGTAGATTGGGGTAATCAAAGATAATCTAGGGTAATCTCCCCATCTCAAAATTCTCAATCTTAATCACATCTGCAGGGTTCCCTTTTCCACATAAGGTAACATATTCACAGGTTCAGAGGATTAGGATGTAAACATCAGGGGATTAGGATGTAAATACTCCCCCATCTTTGGGGGCCATTTATTCTGCCTTCCACAGGTGTGATTGAGTTTTAGGAAAGCCAATAAGTCGGGAACCTTTCCCTTCTAAGTCAAGAACCAATGGGGAGAGAAGATATGCACAAGTCAGACAGACTGAAGGACACAGAAAAGTCACGTTTTATTCCTAATAAGGCTGACTGAAGAATTTAACTTTAGATTCAGGGTAAATGGTCTTTCTAATAGCTCACCTCTGAATTAGGCTTTACCACCCAGTCACTGGCAATAGGGGCAGACAGAACATGATCCTGTGAGCTTTACCTGTAAATGAGATGTGTGTTTGAGCTGCGCATGCTCAGTTCCTTCCCCAAATCTATCTTCCTGTAGCCTTCTCTTCTGGAGAGGAGTGTGAGCAGGGTGGAGTGAGAGAATGTTAAGTTCCTCCGCAGGGAAACATGAGACATGGAGACTAAAAGTGTTCCCTTATCACAGTCTCTGGACTGTGTGCATGCTTTAAAAATCGTAACTTTCAGAGTCCAGCCCCACCCGCTATTCTGGCCTTATTTCCTGTCACTGCCCTGCTTGTACCCTGCCAGGTCTTCTTATTGTTCTTGAGTAGCAATGCCCCGTGTAATTCCCCTTTCTTCTATTTGCCATCTCCTCTACTTAGCTGACCTTTCCAGTCATTGTGTGGCAAACTCTTACTCATGCTTGAAGGCAACTTCCTATGTCTCCTCCTCTGAGGAAAGTTTTCTGTGCCCCTTCAGACTCCTTTCTCCTAATGTGATGCCTTCTCATGATGTATTTCCAATGTCCCACATAGTATTTGGATTTGGAGCATAATGGGACCTCATGAGATGTTTTTGAATGAATCTCATGTTTTGAATGAAATTCATAAATGAATTTCTCTGTTACTTTCTTCCTCTAAGAGAAGTTATTGTCTTACTCATCTTTTTAGCCCCAGCTTTGTCTCCCATGCCTGATATACAGAATGTTCTCCATAAACTTTTCAATAAGAAAAGGCAAATTAATTATTTAAATATTTCTGTCAAAAGCAGAATATATCATTGGAAATGTTCATATAACCATAAACAGATTCTTTGGCCTATTAGCTCTCAATTTTTAAAGGGAACCTTTGATATGCAAATCCAGAGCCCTTCCAGTGGCCAGTGAGATCCTAAACTGTCTAGTGTCAGGACACTTCTTTGATCTGATTATCAAATACTCATTTCTAGCTCTTTCTCCTGTTTTGTTTTTATTTTATAGTGGGTATAACCATATACTTAATATTATACTAATGTTATGTTTGCTACATTATATGTTGGTTTATGTCCTTTCTGTCTAGATGAACTATAAGCCCACAAGGGCAGCCATGTTGCTTTATTGAATAGATCTAACAGTGCCTGCCACGTAATAGGTGTTAAGCAAATACTTGTTTAATAAATCAAAGAATGAAGAAGATAGTGTGAAATGAGAGAAAAAGTAGGACTTTGGGATAAGAGAGGGCTGGATTAAAATAGTAATTCTCCAATTTTTTTAGCTACCTGGACTCAAAGAAATCATTTGATGACTAATATTACCTGTCTTGCACGGATGGCAGGATATTGGCAATAGTATATATAAAATACCTGGCACTTACTAAATGTTCCAGAAATGTTGGCTGTAACTATGGCATTTGCTTTCATTGTTAAAGATTTATAAAAATTATTAATGGAGATCAATTTTCTTAGGCCTGACTGAGTTTGTTTCTGTGTACTTCTTAACAAGGAATGAAGTGAAATTCTATGGTGCATACCCTGTTGTTATCAGCAGAGTCAAGTATCTTTAATGGAATATCATAATATCTACCAAATTTATTAGGAATGCTATGAAAGGATTTTAAACATTCCTAAGCAAGGATTATTTCAAAGTCATCCAAAAAGCTCTCCAAGTTTGCTCTTCCCATTCCACCTCAGAATGCAAGGTAGGAGGGCAATTATAAGACACCTATGGGCTTTTGCAAGGCCAAAATGCTTTTGTATGTCTGTACCATACAATCTGACTCATGAAAGAAAAAACCTAACCCTTCCATTTTCACATTGTTTTGTTTCATCCGTGTCTATACTAGATTTTATAACAAATTCAATTACAGTTCTAAGTCGATGGTAATATAGAAGTTTTCATCTTATATTATTTTGATTATTTTGAATGTAATAATTATTTTGCATTGATATCTTATGGATTTCAAAGAAACTTTGTATTCATTGTGTTTGTAGGATAGGCAGCCATATACTGTGCACTGCAGGCATGTCATATGGATTAACCTTGTACCATCCTGTAAACTAATGTCAGTTTTCACTCTTTGTTACTGAAGCTGTGGCCCCAGACATCCTTGACTTCCCCATGGCTACAGGAGTCAAAGCCTAATTGGTGTGTAATGTAATAGAAGGAATATATATATATATATATATATATATATATATATATATATATCATATATATATTATATATATATATATATATCATATATATATATTTTTTAATTTAGTTCAGTTCTCAGCTGTGCAACTGGTTTTACGTCTCTGCAAATCTCTAAGCCTTAGTTTTCTCATCTGTAAAATGGAGTTAGTCCCACAAGACTAAATGCCAATGTTTAAATGAAAAATCTAAAGATGTGGTAATTTTGGAATGCAGGTACTTTATACATTCTTAATATCATGTGACCAGAACATAAGTCTCTGACGGAGCTCAGTGGTCTTTTAATATACTTCCAGATTTTTCATGTAAGAAACATATTATATATTCATGTAATACGCCATTTTCTCTGCTTTGTTTTCAACTCTTATGATTGAATCTTGTAAAGGACATGCTCTTCCTGCTTTACTGAATCATAGATCATTTGGTCATTGATTCGTTCATTTAACCCCTCTTTTATGGCAGACACTATTCTAGGCATTGGACTTATGGTGTTGAATGAGACAGGAAAAGCTTATATTCTTTTGGGAGTGCCAAAAACTATGAAATTAAATAACTAAACAAAAAATTTAGATACCTGGATTAGGATTTGGGCTATAATAAAAATAAAACAATGTAATGAGTTACAGAGTAACTTGGGGCATACATATATTTGTATTTTAGGGACACCAGTCTTAGGGAAGACTTAGAGAAGACATCTCTAAGACAGACTAAAACCAGGATAAGGAGTGGGCTCTATGAAGTTTTAGGGAGAAAAGAAATCAAGGCAAAAGGAAAAGCTGGACAGGTATGAGCCTGAGGGGCAGAAACAAAAGAACCCTAAAGAGATCAAGTTTGCATGGAGTGCAGTGATAAGGGAGAGGTGGTGGGAAATCAGGGCAGAGAGAAAGGGAGGGTCTGATCAGATAGGGCCTTCGGGGCCAGAGTAAAAGTTTTGGATGGTATTCTTTATATTGTGCAAGATCACTCAGGAAGCTAAGAAGACAATGTTTTGTGAAGGGCAACGATGGAAACTACAAGATGAATTAGGAAGCTGCTAGTTATCAAGAAAAAGCAATAAACGTAGAAGAAGAGAAAAGGATGAAGAGGGGGCAGGTGCTACTCCAGAAAGGGTGATCAGGGAAGACATCTCTGAGGAAGATTTGACATTTGAGAAGGAACCAAGTTAAGTGAGGAGGAAAAGCATTTTAGGTTCCTGGATTAGGCAGTAACAGTACAGATACAGAGAAACAGATGGATGAAGGATGCAGAGGTGACAATATCTGCAGATGGATTGGATGTGTGTGTGGGTGTTATGGAAAGAGATAAATCCTAAGCCTTGAGTAAATGCATAAATAGTGGTTCCACGGACTCAGATATAGAAATCTAGGAAAGGAGATTTTTGAAAGGATGAGTAAATAAAAAAAAATCCCATTAAAAAAGGGCAAAGGACACGAATGGACATTTTTCTCCTTCCTTCTTTCCTTCCTTCCTTCCTTCCTTCCTTCCTTCCTTCCTTCCTTCCTTCCTTCCTTCCTTCCTTCCTTCCTTCTTTCCTTCCTTGTTTCTCTCTCTCTTTCAACAGGGTCTTGCTCTGTTGCCAAGGCTGAAGTGCAGTGGCACAATCATAGCTCATGTAAACTGGAATTCCTGGGCTTAAGTGATCTATCCACCTTGTCCTCCCAAAGTGCTAAAATTACTGGGATGAGCCATCATGCCCAGCTCTGAATAGACATTTTTCCAAAATAAAGGTGTGCAAATGGCTAACACGTATATGAAAAGGTACTCAACATCACTAATCATCAGGGAAATGAACATCAAAACCACAATAAGCTATCACTTCACACCTGTTAGGATGGCTATTATAAAAAGGACAAGAGATAACAAATTAGGTGAGAATGTAGAGAAAAGGGGACCCTTGCAAACTGTGGATGGCAATGTAAATTAGTACAGCCATTATGGAAAGTAGTATGGACCTTACTCAAAAAATGAAAAATAGAACTTCCACATGATCCAGCAATCTCAAAGAAAATATCTCAAAGAAATAACAGTTGGGGCAGTTAGTATCTCAAAGAAATAGCTACTGCCCTACGTTCATGGAGGCATTATTCACAAAAGCCAAGATATGGCAACAACCTGTGCGTCACAAGAAATGAATTCAAAAATGTGCCACAGATAGATTATTTAGATATGAAAAAAGGAAATCCTGCCATTAGCAACAACATGGATGAACCTGGAAAGCATTAAGCTAAGTGAAATAAGCCAGGCAGAGAAAGACTAATACTATATGGTATCAGTTATATGTGGAATCCAGAGGGAAAAAGAAGTTGAACTCATAGAAATAGATATTAGAATGGTGGTTGCCAGGGGCTGAGAGGTGTGGGTAATGGAGAGAATGATGGTCAAAGGAAACAAACTCTCAGTTATAAGATGAATAAATTCTGAAAATCCAATAAACAGCATGATTGACCATAGTTAATAATACCATATTGTATGTTTGAAATTTGCTAAAAGAGTAGATCTGAAGTGTTTTCATGCCCCACCTCCTACAAAAGGTAACTAGGTGAGGAAATAGAAGTGTTAATTAAGTTAATTGTGGTAATCATTTTGCAGTGTATACGTGTATCACATCAACATGTACACTTTAAAAGTGTACAGTTTTAATTCTCAATTATACCACAATAAAGCTGAAGAAAGAATTTGTTTTGTTTATGAGATAAAAATTTAACTATCAATTAGCTATCCACAAAGAAAGCAGCAAACTTTCATCACAGCTTCCTCAGTTGTGATGGCTCCATTTTTCAGAGGAAGTCAACCCTTAGCAGGTCCACCTGGTCTGCTGCTGTCCCTGAGTGAGAAAAGAGACTCCTTTGTTGAGGGTTCTGCTGAGAAAGAGCCCAGTGAGGATCACACTTGCCCTAGGTTGTAAAGGTGGAGAGCAGGACCACAGCATAAACCTGGAGTGTCTCTTTGAGAATCAGTTTTACTCACGGTTTGAGGAGAACACAGTGTTTTCATAGAAATACAAATATAGATAAGTTATGGGGTAGAGTGAAATGGTTGCATGGATTTTAAAAATGAAATAAGCCCACAAAAGTTACTATACAAAGAAACATAATTGTGTGTGTAATGCTTTAGGTAGAAGACATACAGAAATCCAAGGATAAAAATGCATAATTCTGAAATGTAGAAAATGGGAATTATTGATTCTCCCTTTTAGTTTTGTCACTTAAAAAGAGAAAAATTAGGCCGGGCGCGGTGGCTCACGCCTGTAATCCCAGCACTTTGGGAGGCAGAGGCGGGCGGATCATGAGGTCAGGAGATCGAGACCATCCTGGCTAACGCGGTGAAACCCCGCCTCTACTAAAAATACAAAAAATTAGCCGGGCGTGGTGGCGGGCGCCTGTGGTCCCGGCTACTCGGGAGGCTGAGGCAGGAGAATGGCGTGAACCCGGGAGGCGGAGCTTGCAGTGAGCCGAGGTCGCGCCACTGCACTCCAGCCTGGGCGACAGAGCGAGACTCCGTCTCAAAAAAAAAAAAAAAAAAAAAAAAAAAGAAAAATTAGATGAAGTATGAAAAGTTGTATAAAATAGAAACAGAGAATTTTTATTATAAACTATATTGATATTGAGGCATTCTCAGGATTCAGATACAAAACACTGCTTTTCCATCAGAATTTTAATATGCATAATTACCTACTTAATTTTTTCACTTCATTTTCTCTTTACTTTTCTTATTTCTATAATCTTAATTTGTAGTTCAATTATATTCTGTTTCTACAGTTTGGCAAATAATCTACTAACTAATTAACCAACCCATTAATTTTATGGGAGGAAAAGTAATCCAGGCATTTATTTGGCATTACATACAAATGAAGTTGATCTCTTTTAATTGTTTGATTTTTACTTAATTTGCAACTGAGATATTAAAATATTTGAGGAACCTGGGTTTTAATCTTGCAAATTCTCTGGGCAAATGTTACCTCTTGTTCCTAGGTCTGATTCCATAGAGCTAGGCTTTTTAATGGCAGCTTAGGGAATCTGTTATCCTGATATATCAGCATTGCCCGATCTCTATTTAAACAGAAAAGGAAGTGATTATGTACTTGTGTCCCTTAAAAGAAAAGCCTGATGAACGGATTTTGATCAGAGTAGCAATGTTTAAGTTATTGAGGCAGAAATAGCATGGGTAAAAAAATATGAAGTGGCCCCAAGAGTATTAATGTATTACTAAAATGACTCCATATCAACCTCATTAGACAGTTCAATGATAATTTTTCTATTGTAAGTACACTGCATTTTTATTCACAATGGCATAAAGAAAAAAGGAATAATTATCTTCTCTTGCATTTTAACAAAAGAATTTACAATGACAAAATAGTTTACTCAAAATAGCAGTTGAGGGGTCTGTTGTAATTCTATTGTTACTTTCAGAGCATATGCCATGTCACATGCAAAATGCCAAGAACACAGAAAAATATTTTTAGCTGGGTAAAAATATGTGACATTTAAGAAAGAAATGGTAGTGCCTTGATTCATTTGTTAATTAAGCACTTCAACATTTTCTATACTCAATTGTTTGAAAGTTATAGAATGCAAGAAAGATTCAATCCTTGCCTCTATGGGATTATATTTTTAGACAACTAAGATAAATTGTTCTCTATAATTTGTAATACATGGGAGAAAAAGAGAAAGACAAATGGTAGATAGATCAAATGTATTCTTGGCCTCATTAGGGAGAGGCTCCAATATTAGTTTTAATATGACAGAAGATAATACCCTGGGCTAGTCATTAAGGACATAAATGCCTTAAATGAGATAAATACATTTGCTTGACTAGACGTTGAAAATAAGAAAGAAATATTGTAGGATGTGGCAGAAACTTAGATACCTCAGAAGAAATTAAACAGGTGTTTGGAAAAAATTAATGGCAGAAATTGTCTTAACTAATTGGCAAATTCTTTCAGCAATATTTAAGATACAGGAGTGTATGGTAAGATAGAAATAGATAACATTTTAAGAGCCTAAACTCTGAACATAGACAACAAAAGCAAATATTTTAATATTTAGAAAATCTTAGAAAATCCATTCATACATGGATATCAAAGTTATAGGTACTAAACTATTACATGCAATGGGTACTCTGTAAAATAGAACCTCAATAATTTTTAAAACTAAAACATTGGAAATTAATGCTGCAAGTTGTTATCTATCTTCTAAAATGAAGACACAATTAATTTTGGAGCAGATTTTCCCATTGTTTTATAAAAAATATAACATTGGAAGTGGACATTTTAGAATGTGTATGTATCCAAGTAACCATTCATGTCCTTAGAGAAGAGCTGAATGCAAGGAATTAAATCAAACATAATACTACAGACAGATGGCTATTTGTGTAGTTTAGCATTGAAAATTGGGTGTTTTGTTAGGAATTGTGTCTCTGCAAATCTTCCCTGATGTCTCTGCAAATTTCTGATAAAGGTAAATTTTTTTCCCAACAGTGAGTCTTGATTTTTTTACTTGAATATTGACTCTTTCACTTAGGAAACACGTGTGTGTGCCCTTGCTTAAATAGCTGCCTATAGGTGATGGACAAGGAGACCCTGAAATCTGAAAGCAAGGGATGAAAACCTGATGATGTTCCTTTCATCTTATGACCATGTGCTATAGGAATTAGACTGAAGTTTATGTAGCCCAACCTAGACAGAGGTAGGGATGTCTCACATGTAAAGATATTTAAGAAAAATAACCTGGCATTTAGTGAATGTATTGATACTAAACTCTTATATTCTGGTGGCTTTTGGAACAATAACAACCCCGGGCACAGAAGGATTTATTACTGTGGTAGGCACAATGGCTCCCCAAGAGGTCCATGTCCTAATCTCCAGACCCTGGGACTATGTCATGTTGCATGGCAAGGGGGAATTAAGGTTCCAAATGGAATTAAGTTTGCTAATCAGCTGACCCTAAAATAAGGCGAGTTATCCTGGATTATTAGAGTAGATCCAATGAAATCACAAAGACCTTTTAATGTAGAAGAGGGAGGCAGAAGAGCCTGAGAAGATGTGGCAATGGAAGCAATGTTGGAGTGAGGCAAAGGGAGAAAGATTCAACCAGCCTTTGCTGGCTTTGAAAATGGAGGAAGGGACTGAAAGTCAAGGTCTGTGGGCAGACTCTAGAAGCTGAAAAAGGCAAGGAAATAGATTCTCTGTTGGAGCCACCAGAAGAAATGCAGCCCCGCCAACACCTATGTTTTAGTCCATTGAGACCTGTTTTGGCTTTCTGACCACCAGAACTGTAAAAATGCATTCCTATTGTTTTAAGCCACTAAGTTTGTGGCATTTGTTAACGACAATAGGAAACTAATAAAATCTCAATTGCCGTGGATGTACCAAAGGTCAATCATCTTGAAGGAAACTCAAAGAAGGAGCAAAAAAGATTTAAGGGACAAGCCTAAGGTTGCAAATTTCCCTCTTCGTTGCAGTAGGAGCTCTTATCTTGGATTCCATGGAGATAAGCAGAGCACACTCTATGGTGGAGAATAAGCCAGCCCTTGCCTTACAGAGTCAGGGCCAGAATGAGGCATAGAAGTAACCTGGAAAGAGACCCCAAGCCATGGTCATAGGTGTGTGAAGGTTTCTTTCTTTATCACAGAAACTTTAAAAGAGTTTCATTAATCATGACTAATTAGTCTTTGCTGTGCAGTGAGAAATTAAGCACGCTCACTAAAGAGAGCACAGTGTTTTTTTTTGTCCTTCTCCCCAGGAAAAGAGTGGTGATGGTGATGGCAGTCATCAGCAAAGAGCATGTCAAGCAAAGCACTGATACCACAAGAAGAATGTCCAGTTGCAGCAATCACATAGAAATGAGACAGGGAGGATGGGCAGGAAATCACTCAGGAGTTTCTGGAGATTTTTTGGATGTTCTTGCAGAAAGAGCTGGGGTTAAGAGAGGACAGTGCTCATCTGGGGGTCAGCCTTCAGTTATCATAATGTGAGTTCCAACAGTGAATATAAGAGTCCTGACTCATTGTAATGAATGAAAACATTAAGTAGCCTTAATTGAATTCAGAATTAAATTGAACGAAATGGGCCAGAAACAGAAAAAGCCAGAACTGAGAAACACATGAAGAAAGCAATCCAAGTAATACAGCCACAAATCAGCAATATGAAAGTAAATTAATTATTAATTTTATTAATTAAAATTATTAATTTTCAGGCATATTAAGGACCTTAGCTGATAGAAACTACTTTTTTTTTTTTTTAAGACGATATCTCGTTCTTGTCTCCTAAGCTGGAGTGCAATGGCGCGATCTTGGCTCACTGCAACCTCCGCCTGCCAAGTTCAAGCGATTCTCCTGCCTCAGCCTCCTGAGTAGCTGGGATTACAGGCGCCTGCCACCATGCCCCGCTAATTTTTTGTATTGTTAGTAGAGACAGGGTTTCACCATGTTGGCCAGGCTGGTCTTGAACTCCTGAACTCAGGTGATCTGCCCGCCTCAGCCTCCCAAAGTGCTGGGATTACAGGCGTGAGCCACTGCGCCTGGCCAGAAACTACTTTTTGAAAATTCAGAAACAGATCCATACATGGAATAATAGATGTCACTTGGTGTATGGCAAGCATGGCATGAATAGTCATTGAAAGCTTTTAAATAAATGATACTGGGACAATATTTCTGTATGTAAAAAATATAAATTAAAACATTACTTCACACAATGTAAAAAAATCAATTCAAAGTGAATTTAGCATATGAAAGTAAAAAGCTAAACTTTAAATCTTTTAGAAGAAAAAATAAGATAATATTAATATGATATTGGATTAAGGAAAGATTTCTTGGACAACTCACAAAAGCACAAAGATTAATGGAAAATATTAATAACTTTGATAGCATTGGAATAAAAGTATCTAGAACATTAAATTATCAGCAAGGTGAAAAAAAGTGAAAAAATAATTGCAAGCATAAAAATGAAAGACTTGTACATTGAATATATAAGGAATACATAAAATACCCAAAACACCCCATAAACTGGACAAAGTTCTGAATAGGTGTAATTCATATAAATAAGTACTTGGAAACTGGGTAATGAAGTGAGACCCCCATCTTTACAGTTAAAAAAAAATTAGTTGGATGTAGTGGTGCGTTCTGTAGCACCAGCTACTTGAGAGGCTGAGGCGGGAGGTTTGCTTGAGCACAGGAGTTCAGGGGCTGTAATGAACTATGATTGCACCACTGCACTCCAGTGACAGAGTGAGACCCCCATCTCTAAAAGAAGAAAAAACTTTGTTGTCTAAGATGTATATATAAAACACACACACACACAAAATGATTCTCAAAATCATAAGTAATCAGGCCAATGCAAATAAGTGAAAGTAATATAAAGGCACTAGTCTTCAAATTAGCAAGATTTTAAATCTGTCAGTATGGAATGTTAGTAAGACTATTTAAAAATAGTAAATCTCCCAAGTTGCTGCTTGGAATTGAAATTATTATGATTACTTTGGAAATTATTTGACAATATTTAATAAAGATGAAGATATGTGTGTGTGTATGTGTGTCTCCACTCCTCCCCACAAAAAACCACTCTGACATATGCAAAGCAGACATCTAAAAATAGTTTTTGTAATGGTATTGATTTAACTATAAAATTATAAATTACCTGAATGTCTATCAGTAGAAAAATACGTTCAGTAATCTGTGCTTTAATATGAATGCAATATTACAAAATGGGAATGAATGAACTGGAGTCCTATCTATCAGATAGACATTTTAAAAAAATCAGGTCACAGCAAGGTATAAACAGCATTAATCTCTTATATAAAGTTTCAAAACTTGAAAAACTGTCATACATATTGCTTTTGGTGATATATCTACATAGTAAATCACAAAAACATACATGACAATCTAAAAGCATGGTCTGAAGCAAATATTTCTAAATGTTTAGTTTTTTTTGTAACTAAGTGGTGAGTTTACAAATATTTTCTTTCTTTTCTTTCTTTCTTTTTCTTTCCTTCTTTCTTTCTTTCTTTCCTTTCTTTTTCTTTCTTTTTCTTTTTTTTTTTTTTCTTTTTTTGAGATGTAGTCTCGCTCTGTCGCCCAGGCTGGAGTACAGTGGTGCAATCTTGGCTCACTGCAAATTCCCAGGTTCAATTGATTCCCCTGCCTCAGCCTCCCAAGTGTTATATTTATTTCTATATTTAAGTTTCCTAGTATTTCATAGTTTTAAAATGCAATAGAAAAAGCAAAATAAATATGACTGTGCTTTGGCTCATTGAGAGGCATATTTTAGATACATGAGACATGGTGATATGAGCTAGCATGTATGCGTGAAATTGGAAGAGCGCTTGGAGAGGACTACCCTTCATAAACAGGGCAGCATAATGTCAATTACTCACACTACAGGTTGAGCATCCCTAATCTGAAAATCTAAAATACTTAAAAATGGAAAGCTTTTTGAGTTCAACATGATGCCACAAGTGGAAAATTCCACACCTTACCTCTGGACAAGTCATGGTCAAAATGCAGTCAAAGCTTTGTTTCACGCACAAAATTGTTGAAAGTACTATGTAAAATAACCTTCAGGCTATACGTGTGAGATATATATGAAACATAAATGCTTTTTGTAGTTCAATTTGGGTACCATCCCCAAGTTATCTCATTATGTACATGCAAATATTTAAAAATCTGAAAAATATCAAAAATCGCAAACAATTCTGGTCCCAAGCATTTCAGATAAGGAATATTCAACCTGCACTAAGAATGTTAAGAAGCTACATAGTGAAATAGCAATTATGTGACAAGTTTTCCATTCAAATAGACATAGATTTTAAAAAGTTCTTGAAAAGCTCAAGCTCATTAAAGTCATAATTTTGTAAAGTGAATGAATGTAATCTCCTATAAATCGGCATTGAGACAGTCTTCAGTAAGTAAGATCGGATTCTATTATAGCTTCATGCTTCAAGGGTTTTGAAGGAAAGCTTTTATTTCAATTTCCACATCCCATGCTCCATTAAAAGAAAAGAAAATTAAAGTCTTTACTGTAATTTCTATTGCCTGAATCCCAAGGGGACTGATTCAGAGAATATAACATTTAATCCCAGCTGGGGATATATATTAAAATGCAATTATGAAATCTGTATGAGTTTTTTATTTTATGCTTCCTCAAAAAAAGCTATTTAAAAGTACACATTTTCTTCATATTTTATCTTCGGATTTCCCAATAAAAAGAAACTTTTCTTTTAGAACAACCATTGAAATAATAATTGAAAACTTCCAGGTAAGTAAATACTACATGATTACTCGTTGATTTTTAACACTTAGTATGACATTTATACAACTTAAAATTATTCATGAACAAAATTTTAAATTCTATTTTGAGATTTTGTTTGCTTTCTATTAGTACTTCTGTTTTAATCATATTTGAAACTTTGAATATAGAAGAAATTTAAAATTAAATTTTATATGTAAAACATACTTAGATGACATTTATGTTCAACATAATCTTAGTCAAAAAGTTAAAGAAATATCAGTGATTGCTTAGAAAGGAATACATACATTTATGAAATTGTATCTATCACTTAACCAATATTTAATGGGTACCTACTATCTACCCAGAATTATGAAATAATAATAAAAAAAACCAGCCAGTTAAAGTTTAGTGTACTAAACCCAAGTTGTAAAGCCTAGAGCAATTTTCAACCAGTCGTCTGCTAATCAACTAGATGCCTGATTTATTAAAGTAAAAATCTGAAAAAGAAACCTCTTCTTTAATTATTGACATCATATTCACAGATTTCTTGTTCTTTGGGTATAAATAAGTTAGCAACAAATTGCAGCCATATATTAAGGCAAAAATAATCATAGCCATTAGGGAAGAAGAGAGGTATTATGTAAAATAACCTCCATGGAGGGCCATTGAGAGTGGAATGTCAAAGAACAGGGGGAAAAAACCAAAGACTGCAAGGAAAGTTCCATTTAAAGCCACAAAGACAGGGTTTCTGTAGGTAGCTGGAGTGAGAAATGTTTTTTTTTTTTCTTTTTTGTGGAATGAACTTCATGCTAGCAGTTTGCACTTCAAATATTGTGTAACAAATCAAATTTATTCTTGAATCAATGTTAGAAAAACTTCATGATTCACCCTAAGAACTGAAGATAACTGTTGGTGGCCAGTCTTGACTCTATAAAACATAATTGCCTCATCCTCATGTTTGCCTTCACGAATACCACCAGGTTCCTGCTGGTAAATTCATCACTCTCTATTTAAAAAACAAAACGTTATAATTGGCAGAATTATTGATGACCAAAAGGAAAAAAAAAAGTGCAAGTTGCAGGAAAGCCCAAACAGACTGGCCACTCATTCAGTCCAGTAGCAACACTGAATGGTGCTCCAGTTGCCAATATAGATGGATAAGTTTTTAGAGACGCTCCAAGTCAAGGAAACAGAATGGAGAAGACAACTGAACTCTCCTACTCTGAAGATCTCAAATATAGAGAAAGTGAAGATATAGTAGGCACATAAATTTAAGTAATATCATATATTGTTGTATTTAAGTCAGATCACTCTTATGAAAATAAAAAGGTAAAATCAAACAGAGCTCAAACCCCACCTCTAACCCTTCACCCCATCAATTTCCAACATTCTAATACTGGTCTCTATCCTACACAGGCTTGTGAGGACGTTTATTTTTCTCTTTATTTATTTTAATTACATATTGGAGTCAGTAAGTGAAATAGCAATTGTCTGAAATAAGAAATATGAGTTCTTTTAAAAAGCATTTTAAAAATAAGACTGAAGAGCAAGAGAACAGAAATGAGGGAAGCAGAAAACAAAATTGGATCAGTGACACACTGGTGGGTGGGTTCTGAATGTAATGAGAGATATGTCAATCATAGAGGCCTGCTAAAATATCTGCACTTCAGAATTTCTCTCTCTACAAACTATTTTAGGGTCTCCAAACTGAGAAGAGAGATTGAAACAGAAAGAGAGAGGGGAAATATAGAGGGGCTCTGTGTGTGTGTGTGTGGTTGAGAAAGGAGGTAGACAGAAAAAAAAACTTTAAAATTTCAAGGTCTTGAAAACACAAAGTATTTAGATACAGGTTTGAAGTTTAGTTATGCCATTTAAAAAATAATTGCAAACTATGAGAAACTTGAAGGTTAACTTCTAGATATCCATGTAAACTTAAAGGCAGCCCAAGAGGCAATTCTAGTAGATTGAAGATTAGTGACCTGGCAAGATAAATCACACAACTCTGGGAGGTCAAGGCGAGAGGATCACTTGAACCCAGGAGTTCAAGATCAGCTTGGGCAACATAGCAAGACCCCTGTCCCTGCAAAAAAATAATAATAAAAATTCAACTGGGCATGATAGTGCATGCCTGTGGTTCTAATTACTCAGGAGGCTGAGGTGGGAAGATTGCTTGAGTCTGGGAGGTTGAGGCTGCAGTGAAATATGATCATGCCTCTGCATCCAGCCTGGGCAACAGAGCAAGATCCTATAAAAAAAAAAAAGAAAGAAAAAGAAAGAAAGAAAGAAAGAAGGAAAGAAAGAAGGAAAGAAAGAAAGAAAGAAATTTTTCAGACTGTTCTGAGTTTATACTACAGTATTTTTAGTCAAATTCAGGCTGAGCCCCCAGATCACTTAAGCCCAACTTGAACCACAAGGGACTGAAAACCAGTGAGAAAAGGACAGAAGTCATCCTCTAGGAAAAATACAAAGGGCTAATTCCAATAGGAATAAGGAACCAGTGTGGGCAGTTATTCAGTAAATCTATCACCAGTTTAGAGACATCTCACATATAAATATGTTATAATAAATAAAGGGCTGAATAAACCGGGGCAAAATATCTGCCTTGCCAACACTTTGATCTCAGATGTCTAGTCTAAAGAACTGTGAGAAAATATATTTCTGCTGTTTAAGCCATCCAGGCTGAGTCCTTAGTTTGCTAGGTCTCTGTCACCTTAGGTTTCATAGTTTTTGGCCACAACCATCTCTACAAGTTAGTTACAGAACACATGCAAATTTTTCCATGTTTATCTTAACAACAATGCCATAAATCTAAAAAAGTTGCAGTCTCCATGGCTATTAAGGACTAAAACAATGCTATTATTAGAAGACTTCCCCAAATAGCAAGAAATAAATTCTAACACTAAGCTCTAGTTCTTTCTTCAATACTCAAATAGTGATGATTAAAATAAATGGAAAAAGGAAATTCTAGACCTAATGATAACTCTTTATTAGGATTTATTACCTAATAAAACTCTATTTCATTTCTTATCAATGATCTGTTTACTTGATCATTGATAAGAAATGAAATAGATTCATTCTTAGGTAATGGTTCATTCTTAATCACCACCTGCTTTCTTATTTATATTTCTTTGTGTTGGTTTTGTGTTTGTTTTAGAAAAGGAAGAGTAAACTTGCAAAATAACATTAACCTGAGGGGCGGGGGCCAAGATGGCCGACTAGAAGCAGTTGTGATTGAAGGCTTCCATCCAAAAGATCCAAAACAGCATGTGAATCCTGCGCTAGCAACCGAGGTATCCAGGTTCTGTCATTAGGACTGACTAGGTGGCTGACATGACCTACCGAGAGGAAGAGTAGTGTGGTGCAGCGGCCCACCTGAGAGCCACAGGAGTAGGGGAGCCCCCACCCCCAGCCAAGGGAGGCAGTGACTGAGCGTGCTACCCAGCCTGGGAAACCGTGCTTTTCCCATGGAACTGTGCAACCAACAGATCAGAAGATCCCACTCAGGAGACCATGACACCGGGACCTTGGGCCCCAACCATGGAGCCACATAGATTTTCAACACCCACTCGACTAGAATCGGCCTAAGTCTGCCACATTTCCAGGGGGAGGGGCGGTCATAATCACTGCTGTGGCTGTGTAAGATTCTCGGAGGATGAGTGGCAGCCAATACTTCAGCTGCGTGGCCTCCGTGCAGGAACTTGAACTCCAGCCGGGGGCTCAGGGACAGAACTCTCATCTCCCTGGGCATGAGTTCCTAGAGGGAGAGGTAGCCGTAGTCTCGGTGAGCCAACAGACTTACTCTTTCCTCCTGCTAGCTCTGAGGAGTCCGGGCAGCCCAGACAAGTGGGTTTCCCCAGCGCAGTGCACCCCCTCCACCATAGGACAGCCAAAGTGCCTTGTTAAATGGATCCTGCTTCCTGTGCCACCCGACTGGGTGAAACCCCCATAATAGGGGTTGTCAGACACCCTATACAGGCGTGTTCTTACCGGCATCAGGTTGGTGCCCCTTGAGGTCAGAGATCCCAGAGAAAGGAGGAGGCACTCATCTTTGCTGTGCTCCAGCCTCCTTGAGTAACGTCTCCAGAGGCAGGAGCAAACCAGATAATTAGGGCCTGAAGTGAACCCCCAGCAAGCAGCAGCAGTCTTACAGAAGAGGGACCTGAGTATTGAAAGAAAAACAAACAGAAAGCAACAACAACAGCATCAACAAAAAAAGTCCTAACAAAAACTTCATCCATGGGTCAGCAGCCTCAAAGATTGAAACTAGACAAACTCATGAAGATGAGAAAGAATCAGAGAAAAATGCTGAAAACCCAAAAGGCCAGAGTGCCTCTTCTCCTCCAAATGACCGTGACACCTCTCCAGCAAGGGCACAGAACTGGATGGAGGATGAGATAGACGAATTGACAGAAGTAGGTTTCAGAAGGTGGGTAACAAAAAACCTCACTGAGCTAAAGGAGCATGTTCTAACCTACTGCAAAGAAGCTAAGAACCTTGACAAAAGATTAGAGGAGCTGCTAACTAGAATAACCAGTTTAGGGAGGAACATAAATGACCTGATGGGGCTGAAAAATGCAGCATGAGAACTTTGAGAAGCATACACAAGTATCAATAGCCAAATTGATCAAGCAGAAGAAAGAATATCAGAGATGGAAGACTATCTTGCTGAAATAAGGTAGGCAGACAAGATTAGCAAAAAAAGAATGAAAAGGAATGAACAGAACCTCTGAGAAATATGGGACTATGTAAAAAGACTGAACCTATGATGGATTGGAGTACCTAAAAGAGATGGGAGGATGGAACCAGCTTGGAAAACACACTTCAGGATATTATCCAAGAGAACTTCCCCAACCTAGCAAGACAGGCCAACATTCAAATTCAGGAAATACAGAGAACCCCACTAAGGTACTCCATGAGAAGATCAACCCCAAGACACATAATCATCAGATTCTCCAAGGTTGAAATGAAGGAAAAAGTATCAAGGGCAGCTACAGAAAAAGGCCAGGTTACCTACAAAGGGAAGCCCATCAGACTAACAGCGGATCTCTCAGCAAAAACCCTACAAGCCAGAAGAGAGTGGGGACCAATATTCAACATTCTTAAAGAAAAGAATTTTTAACCCAGAATTTCATATCCAGCCAAACTAAGCTTCATAAGTGAAGGAGAAATAAAATCCTTTACAGACAAGCAAATGCTGAGGAAATTTGTCACCACCAGGGCGCCTTGCAAGAGCTCCCGAAGGAAGCACTAAATATGGAAAGGAAAAACTGGTACCAGCTACTGCAAAACACATGAAAATATGAAGACTAATGATGCTATGAAGAAACAGCATCAACTAGTGTGCAAAATAACCAGCTAACATTGTGATAACAGGATCAAATTCACACATAACAATACTAACCTTAAATGTAAATGGGCTAAATGCTCCAATTAAAAGACACAGACAGGCAAATTGAATAAAGAGTCAAGACCCATCAGTGTGCTATATTCAAGAGACCAATCTCATGTGCAAAGACACACAAGCTCAAAATAAAGGGATGGAAGATTTACCAAGCAAATGGAAAGCAGAAGAAAGCAGGGTTTGCAATCCTAGACTCTGACAAAACAGACTTTAAGCCAACAAAGATGAAAAAAGACAAAGAAGGGCAATACGTAATGATTAAAGGATCAATTCAACAAGAAGAGCTAACTATCCTAAATATATATGCACCCAATACAGGACCACCCAGATTCATAAAACAAGTTCTTAGAGATCAACAAAGAGACTTAGACTCCCCACAATAATATTGGGAGACTAACACCCCACTATCAATATTAGACAAATCAATGACACAGAAAGGATATTCAGGACTTGAACTAGTCTCTGGATAAAATGAACCTAATAAATATCTACAGAACCCTCCACCCCAAAACAACAGAATATACTTTCTTCTCAGTGCCATATAGAACTTACTCTAAAATTGACCACATAACTAGGAGTAAAACACTCCTCAGCAAATGCAAAATAACTGAAATAATAATGAACAGCCTCTCAGACCACAGTGCAATCAAATTAGACCCAGGATTAAGAAACTCACTCAAAACCACACAACTACATGGAAATTGAACAACCTGCCCCTGAATGACTATGGGGTAAATAATGAAATTAAGGCAGAAATCAAGAAGTTCCTTGAAACCAGTGAGAACAAAGAGGCAATATACCAGAATCTCTGGGATGCAGCTAAAGCAGTGTTAAGAAGGAAACTGGTAGCACTAAATGCCCACATCAGAAAGCTAGAAAGATCTCAAATTGTCACCCTAACATCACGATTAAAAGAACTAGAGAAGCAAGAGCAAACAAAACCCAAAAGCTAGCAGAAGACAAGAAATCACTAAAATCAGAGTAGAACTGAAGGAGATAGAGACACAAAATCCCTTCAAAGAAATCAATGAATTCTGGAGATGGTTTTTTGAAAAAAATAATAAAATAGATAGATGCTAGCCAGACTAATAAAGAAGAAAAGAGAGAAGAATCAAATAGACACAATAAAAAATGATAAAGGGGATATCACCATTGACTCTACAGAAATACAAACTACCATTAGAGAATACTATAAACACCTCTATGCAAACAAACTAGAAAATCTAGAAGAAATGGATAAATTCTTGGACACATACACCCTCCCAAGACTAAACCTGGGAGAAATCAAATCCCTGAATAGACCAATAACAAGTTCTGAAACTGAGGCAGTAACAAATAGCCTACCAACCAAAAAAAGCCCAGGACAGATGAATTCATGCCAAATTCTACCAGATGTACAAAGAGCAGCTGGTACCATTCCTTCAGAAACTATTTCAAACAATTGAAAAGGAGGGAATACTCCCTAAATCATTTTATAGGCCAGCATCATCCTGACACCAAGACCTGGCAGAGACACAACAAAAAAAGAAAAGTTCAGGCCAATATCCCTGATGAACATTGATGCAAAAATCCTCAAAAAAAAAAAAAATACTGGCAAACTGAATCTAGCAGCACATCAAAAAGCTTATCCACAGCAATCAAGTTGGCTTCATCCCTGGGATGCAAGGCTTGTTCAGCATACATAAATCAATACACGTAATCCATCATATAAACAGAACCAATGACAAAAACCACATGATAATAGATGAAGAAAAGGCCTTCAATAAAATTCAACATCCCTTCATGTGAAAAACTCTCAATAATCTAGGTATTGATGGACCATATCTCAAAATAATAAGAGCTATTTATGGCAAAACCACAGCCAATATCATACTGAATGGGCAAAAACTGGAAGAATTCCCTTTGAAAACTGGCATAAGACAAGGATGCCCTCTCTCACCTCTCCTACTCAACTTAGTATTGGAAGTTCTGGCCAGGGAAATCAGGCAATAGAAAGTAATAAAGGGTATTCAAATAGGAAGAGAGGAAGTCAAATTGTCTCTGTTTGCAGATGACATGATTGTCTATTTAGAAAACCCCATCATCTCAACCCCAAAACTCCTTAAGCTGATAACTTCAGCAAATCTCAGGATACAAAATCGATGTGCAAAAATGACAAGCATTCCTATACACCAACAATAGACAATCAGAGAGCCAAATCATGAATGAACTTTCATTCACAATTGCTACAAAGAGAATAAAATACCTAGGAATACAGCCAACAAAGGATGTTAAGGACCTTTTCAAGGAGAACCACAGACTCAAGGAAATAAGACAGGATACGAACAAATGGAAAAACATCCCATACTTATGGATAGGAAGAATTAATATCGTGAAGATGGCTATGCTACCCAAAGTAATTCATAGATTCAATGCTATTCCCATCAAACTAACATTGACTTTCTTCAGAGAATTAGAAAAAACTACTTTAAAATTCATATGGAACCAAAAAAGAGCCCACATAGCCAAGACAATCCTAAGCAAAAAGAACAAAGCTGGAGGCATCACGCTACCTGACTTCAAACTATACTATAAGGTACAGTAACCAAAACAGCATGGTACTGGTATCAAAACAGACATATAGACCAATGGAAAAGAATAGAGACCTCAGAAATGAAATAAGACCACACATCTACAACCATCTGATCTTGGACAACTGGACAAAAACAAGCAATGGGGAAAGGATTTCCTATTTAATAAATGG